>NC_000020.11:7945122-8096638 GCF_000001405.40 Homo sapiens
CACTGTAGTAGCCTGCAGTGTCTGTTGTTCTCATATTTATGTCCATGTGTGCTCAATGTTTAGCTTCCACTTCTAAGTAAGAACATGCAGTATTTGGTTTTCTACTCTTGCATTAACTCACTTAGGATTATGGCCTCCAACCATCTCCATGTTGCTGCAAAGGACATTATTCCATTCTTTTTTATGGCTGTACAGCATTCCATGGTATATATGTACCACATTTTCTTTATCCAATCTACCACTGAAGAGCACCTGGATTGATTCCATGTATTTGCTATTGTGAATACTGCATCAGTGAACATATGGGTGTATGTGTCCTTTTGGTAGAATGATTTATTTTCCCTTGGGTATATGCCAGTAATGGTATTGCTGAGTCGAATGGTAGCTCTATTTTAAGTTCTCTGAGAAATCTCCAGACTGCTTTCCACAGTGGCTGTACTAATTTACATTCCCACCAACAATGTATAAACATTCTCTTTTCTTCACAGACTGTCCAACATCTGTTGTTTTTTTTGACCTTTTACTAATAGCCATTCTGACTGGTGTAAAATGGTATCTCATTGTGATTTTGATTTGCATTTTTCTGATGATTAGAGATGCTGAGAATTTTTTTATGTTTCTTGGCTGCTTGTCTGTCTTCTTTTGAGGAGTATCTGCTCATATACTTTGCCCATTTTTTAATGAGGTTATTTGTTTCTTGCTTGTTGATTTCTTTATGTTCCCTATAGATTCTAGATATTAAGCCTTTATTGGACGCATAATTTGCAAATATCTTCTCCCATTCTGTAGGTTGTCTATTTACCCTGTTAATAGCTTCTTTTGCTGTGCAGAACCTTTTTAGTTTAATTATGTCCCACTTTTCCATTTTTGTTTTTATTGAAATTGCTTTTGGGAACTTAGCCAAAAATTTCTTGCCAGGGCCAATGTCAAGAAGAGTGTTTCCTAGGTTGTCTTCTAGTAATTTTATAGTTTGAAGTCTTACATTTAAATCTGTGATCCATGTTTAGTTAATTTTTGTATATGGTGAAAGGGGTCCAGCTTCAGTCTTTGGCATATGGCTGGCCAGCTATCCCAGGACAATTTATTGAATAGAGAGTCCTTTCCCCATTGCTTGTTTTTGTCAGCCTTGGCAAGAGTCAAATGGTTGTAGGTATGTGGCATATTTCTGAGTTTTCTTTTCTGTTCCATTAGTCTATGTGTCTGTTTTTGTACTAGTACTATATTATTTTGGTTACTGTAGCTTTATAGTATAGTTTGAAGTTGGGTGGTGTGATGCCTCCAGCTTTGTTCTTTTTGCTTAGGATTGCTTTGGCTATTCGGGCTCTTTCTTGGTTCCATGTGAATTTTAGAAGTTTTTGTTTTTGTTGTTGTTGTTGCTGTTGTTTTTTCTAATTCTGTGAAGCATGACATTGGTAGTTTGATAGGAATAGTGTTTAATTTGTAGATTGCTTTTGGCAGTATGGCTGTTTTATGATATTAATTCTTCCAATCCATGAGCATGGAATGTTTTTCCATTTATTTATGTCATCTTTGATTTCTTTCAGCAGGGTTTATAGTCTCCTCGTACAGCACTTTTACCTCCCTGATTAGCTGTATTACTAGGTATTTCATTTCTTTTGTGGCTATTGTAAGTGGAATTGTGTTCTTGCTTTCACTCTCATCCTGGACATTGTTGATGTATAGAAATGTGACTTATTTTTATACGTTGATTTTGTATCGTGAAACCTTACTAAAGTCACTTATGAGTTCTAGGAGCCTTTTGGCAGAGCTTATAGGATTTTCTAGGCATAGAATTATATCATCAGTGAACACAGATAGTTTGATTACTTCTTTTCCTATTTGGGTGCCTTTTTTTTTTTTCTCTTGTTTGATTCCTCTGGCTAGGACTTCCAATGCTATGTTAAATAGACATGGTGAGAGTGGGGAATCTTTGTCTTGTTCCAGTTTTCAAGGGGAATGGTTTGAACTTTTGCCCATTAAGTATAATGTTGGCTGTGTGTTTGTCATAGATGGCTGTTATTATTTTGAGGTATTTTCCTTCAATACCTAATCTGTTAAGGGTTTTTGTCATAAAGTGATGTTACATTTTATCTCATGCTTTTTCTGCATGTATTGAGATAATCACATAGATTTTGCTTTTAATTGTATTTATGTGGTGAATCACATTTATTGATTTTTGCATGTATTTCCTACTTGATTGTGGTGTATGAACTTTTCGATGTGCTGCTGGGTACGGTTTGCTAATATTTCGTTGAGAATTTTTACATCTATGTTCATCAGTAATATTGGCCTGAACCTTTTTATTTCTGTTGTGTCTGTGCCAGATTTTGGTATCAGGCTGATTGTGCTTCACAGAATGAGTGAGGAGATTCTTCTCAATTTTTTTAATAGTTTCAGTAGGATTGGAATCAGTTCTTCTTTGCACATCTGGCAGAATTTGGCTGTGAAACCATCTGGTTCAGGTCTTTTATTTTCTTGGTATGTTCTTTATTACTCATTCAATTTCAGAAGCTGATATTGGTCTGTTCGGGGTTTCAATATCTTCCTAATTCAATCTCAGGAAATTGTGCGTTTCCACGAATTTATCCATTTCCTTTAGATATTCTAATTTGTGTGCAAAGAGTTGTGCATAGTAGTCTCTGAGGATCTTTTGTATTTCTGTATTTTTGTATTTTGTATTTCTGTAGTTGTAATATTGCCTCCGTTATTTCTGGTTATGCTTTTTTGGATCTTCTCTTTTTCTTTGTTAGTCTAGCTGGTAGTCAATCAATCTTTTTTTTTTTATTTTGAACAACCAACTCTTGGTTTCATTGATGTTTGTTTTGTTTGTATTTTTGCATCTCAATTTCATTAAGCTCTTCTCTAATTTAGCTCTTCTTTTCTTCTGCTAGATTTGAGTCTAGTTTATTCTCTTTTTTTCACTTCCTTTAGGTGTAGAGCTAGTCTGTTGATTTGAAATATTTCTAACTTCTTGATGAAGGCACTTAGGGCTATAAACTTTCCTCTTAACAATGCATTGGCTGCATCCCAGGGATTTTGCTAAGTTGTGTCCCTATTTTCATTAATTTCAAAGATTTTTTTTATTTCTGCCTTAATTTCAATGTTTACTCAGGAGTTATTCAGGAGCAAGTTGTTTAACCTCCATGTATTTCAGTGGTGTTGAGAGATTATCTTGATAATGATTTCTGGTTTTATTGCACATAGTCTGAGAGTGTGCATGGTGTGATTTCAATTCTTTGAATTTATTGAGACTGGCTTTACGACTGAGCATGTGGTCAACCTTAGAACATGTTCCATGTGCAGATGAGAAAAATATATATTCTGTGGTTGCTGGGTGGAGTGTTCTGTAGATGACTATTAGGTCCAACTGGTGAAGAGTTGACTTTTTCCAGAGTTTCTTTGTCGGTTTTCTCCCTTGATAATCTGTCTAACACTGTCAGTGGGGTATTGAAGTCTCCCCTATTAGTGTGGGGTTGCTAAGTCTTTTCTTAGACCAAGAACTTGCTTAATTAAACAGTGGGCTCCAGACTGGGTGCTTATATATGTATGATAGTTAAGGCTTCTTGTTGGATTGTACCCTTTATCTTTACGTAATGCCCTTCACTGTCCTTAATATTTATTGGCATAATGTCTGTTTTATCTGATGTAAGAATAGTGACTCCTACTCTTTTTTGTTTTCCATTTGCGTTGTAAACCTTTCTTCATCCTTTTACTTTGAGTCGTTGGTGTCATTACATGTGCAATGGGTCTTGTGAAGGACAACAGATGATTAGGTCTTATCATTTTATCCAGCCTGACACTCTATGTATTTTAAGTGGGGCATTTGGCATATTTGCATTTAATGTTAGTATTGATATGTGTGATTTTAATCCTGTCATCATGTTGTTAGCTGGTTGTTATGTAGACTTAATTGTGCAGTTGTTTTATAGTGCCTGTGGGCTATGTGCTTACACATGTTTTTGCGGCAGCAGGTATCATTCTTTTGATTCCATGTTTTGCACTCCCTAAGGGCCTCTTGTAAGACTGCTCTAATGAAATGTACTCTTTCAGCATTTGCTTATCTAAGAAGTATTTTATTTTTCCTTCACTTATGAAGCTTAGTTTGGTTGGATATGAAATTCTTGTTTGAAATTTCTTTTCTTTTAGGGCAGTGAAAATAGACCCCTAACCTCTTCTGGCTTGTAAGGTTTCTTCTGAGAGGTCTGCTTCTAGCCTGATGGGGTTCCTTCCATAAGTCACCTGCCCCTTCTCCCAGCTGCCTTTAAGATTTTTTTCTTTTGCATTGTCATTGGTGAATCTGATGACTGTGTGCCTTGGGGATGGTTATCTTGTATAGTATCTAGCTGAGGTTCTCTGTATTTCTTGGATTTGCATGTCAACTTCTTTAGAGAGATTAGGAACATTTTCACAAATTACCTCTTCATTAAATATATTTTCCAGGTTGTTCATTTCCTCTCTTTCTCTCTCAGGAATGCCAATGAGATGTAGATTTGTTCTCTTTACATAATCCCATATTTCTTGGAAGTTTTGTTCATCTTTCTTATTTCTTTCTTCTTTATATTTATCTGACTGAGTTGATTTGAAGAACTGGTCTTTGAACTCTGAGATTCTTGCCTCATCTTGTTCTTTTCTGCTGTTAATACTTACAACTGTTCAACGAATTCTTATAGTGAATTTTGCAGTTCAAGGAATTTAGTTTAGGTCTTTCTTGAAATGGCTACTTTGTCTTTCAACTCGAATCATTTTACTGGATTGCTTGGCTTCCTTGGATTGAGTTTTAACTTATTCCTGGATCTCAATGAGCTTCCTTGCCATCCAGATTTTGAATTCTATGTCTCTCTTTTCAGACTTTCACACTGGTTAAGAACCATTGCTGGAAAGCTAGTGGGCTCATTTGAAGGTAGGAGGACACTGACTTTTTGAATTGCCAGAGTTCTTACACTGATTCTTTTGTATCTGGGAGAGTTGATGTTCCTTTGACTGTGTTATACATTGAATATAGTCCATTGGCTTCATTTCTGGAAGTATTCAGAGAGCTAATGCTCTGTACAGGGTCTTTGTTGTTGAATTATTATAAATATTATGGCATCGATGAATGCAGGAACACTAGGTTTTTTGTCTTGAGTTGAGTTAGATAAGACATGAGCACCCATAAGAAGCTTAAATTAAAAAAAAAAATCCACTTTTTTTCTTTTTGTACTACTGCAGCCCAACAGTTGATTTGGTGTACCATCTTAGTAGGTAAATTCTGAAATGCAGTCCCCACATTGCTTAATCTCTTGGTGGGTAGAATGAAAACAGTGGTTGGAGATTAGAACAGCTTTTGTTAATTTGCAATGATTGCATTGTTAAAATATCTCACATTCTATCAGACACAATACATTCTTTAAAACTTCTCTCCAGGTCTCTGAAGTCAGATGCTAAAGAGGCACACCACAGCAAAACAAGTTCAGGTCTTTTCAAGCTGCTAAATGTTACATTTGCACACTCATTGCCCCCACTATCCCCACAAGTTTGGGAATCAGAATGGTAAACATCAATGCAAATGGCATCTGCTGGGTTCAGGCCCCCTCCTTCACCGTGGCCAGAAGAATAGGCTTTGGTGTTTTTGTGTTTTCTTGCCACTGGACTTAATAAAATCTTAACTTCTAATCCTCCCTAATATCCCAATAAAATCTGCAGAATAGGCAGGGTATGGTGGCTCACGCCTGTAATCCCAGCACTTTGGAGGCCGAGGCAGGCGGATCACCTGAGATCGGGAGTTCGAGACCAGCCTGACCAACATGGAGAAACCCCGTCTCTACTAAAAATACAAAAAAAATTATCTGGGCGTGGTGGCATACGCCTGTAATTCCAGCCACTTGGGAGGCTGGCACAGGAGAATTGCTTGAACCCTGAAGGCAGAAGTTGTGGTGAGCCAAGATGGCACCATTGCACTCTAGCCTGTGCAACAAGAGTGAAACTCCATCTCAAAAAAAAAAAAAGAAAACAAAACAAAATCTGCAGAATAATGTCCCGACATCTCCACAACCTTTGGATATTTTCCAAACCACAAGGCCATCTTGAGGAACTCTCTCCTGTTCCTTTCTCTCAAGGGTAACTAAGCACAACCTGGAAGGAAGCAATAAGAACTTCACATCCTCAACTGGATTTTTTTCATTATTTGTCACAGATGTAATTTATACTATTACATCTATTACTATTACACTGTTTAGAGAAATGTCATATTTCCTGTTTTTATCCTTTTAAGAGGCATTTTATTTTAAATGAGGGATAGAGTTTGGTTGAGTCTTAGTTATTTCCATCCTTCTAGACATTAGAAGAGGTTAAGTTGTCTCAAGCGCTAATGGCTGGGAGAAACGGGTATCCTGGACAGCTGGAAAGAGTGCCCCTTACAAGTATAAAAACCATTTCATAGTGGTTTTACTTTACATCCTTTTTTTTTAATACATGTGCACAACCTGCAGGTTTGTTACATATGTATACATGCGCCATGTTGGTGTGCTGCACCCATTAACTCATCATTTACATTAGGTATATCTCCTAATGCTATCCCTCCCCCCTCCCCCCACCCCATGACAAGCCCCAGTGTGTGATGTTCCCCACCCTGTGTCCAAGTGTTCTCATTGTTCAATTCCCACCTACGAGTGAGAACATGTGGTGTTTGGTTTCCTGTCCTTGCGATAGTTTGCTCAGAATGATGGTTTCCAGTTTCATCCATGTCCCTACAAAGGACATGAACTCTTCCTTTTTTATGGCTGCATAGTATTCCATGGTGTATATGTGCCACTTTTTCTTAATCCAGTCTATCATTGATGGACATTTGGGTTGGTTCCAAGTCTTTGCTGGTGTGAATAGTGCTGCAATAAACAGACGTGTGCATGTTTCTTTATAGTAGCATGATTTATAATCCTTTGGGTATATACCCAGTAATAGGATCACTGGGTCAAATGGTATTTCTAGTTCTAGATCCTTGAGGAATCGCCACACTGTCTTTCACAATGGTTGAACTAGTTTACAGTCCCACCAACAGTGTAAAAGTTTTCCTTTTTCTCCACATCCTCTCCAGCACCTGTTGTTTACTGACTTTTTAATGATTGCCATTCTAACTAGTGTGAGATGGTATCTCATTGTGGTTTTGATTTGTATTTCTCTAATGGCCAGTGATGATGAACATTTTTTCATGTGTCTGTTGGCTGCATAAATGTCTTCTTTTGAGAAGTGTCTGTTCATATCCTTTGCCCACTTTTTGATGAGGTTGTTTGATTCTTTCTTGTAAATTTGTTTAAGTTCTTTGTAGATTCTGAATATTAGCCCTTTGTCAGATGGGTAGATTGTGAAATTTTCTCCCATTCTGTAGGTTGCCTGTTCACTCTGATGGTAGTTTCTTTTGCTGTGCAGAAGCTCTTTAGTTTAATTAGATCCCATTTGTCTATTTCAGCTTTTGTTGCCATTGCTTTTGGTGTTTTACTCATCAAGCCCTTGCCCATGCCTAGGACCTGAATGGTATGGCCTAGGTTTTCTTCTAGGGTTTTTATGGTTATAGGTCTAACATTTAAGTCTTTAATCCATCTTGAATTAGTTTTTGTATAAGGTGTAAGGAAGGGATCCAATTTCAGCTTTCTACATATGGCTAGCCAGTTTTCCCAGCACCGTTTATTAAATAGGGAATCCTTTCCCCATTTCTTGTTTTTGTCAGGTTTGTCAAAGATCAGATGGCTGTAGATGTGTGGTATTATTTCTGAGGGCTCTGTTCTGTTCCATTGGTCTATATCTCTGTTTTGGTACCAGTACCATGCTGTTTTGCTTACTGCAGCCTTGTAATATAGTTTGAAGCCAGGTAGTGCGATGCCTCCAGCTTTGTTCTTTTGGCTTAGGATTGTCTTGGCAATGAGGGCTCTTTCTTGGTTCCATATGAACTTTAAAGTAGTTTTTTCCAATTCTGTGGAGAAAGTCATTGGTAGCTTGATGGGGATGGCATTGAATCTACAAATTACCTTAGGCAGTATGGCCATTTTCATGTTATTGATTCTTCCTATCAATGAGCATGGAATGTTCTTCCATTTGTTTGGGTACTCTTTTATTTCATTGAGCAGTGGTTTGTAGTTCTCCTTGAAGAGATCCTTCACATCCCTTGTAAGTTGGATTCCTAGCTCTTTTATTCTCTTTTTAGCAATTGTGAATGGGAGTTCACTCATGATTTGGCTCTCTGTTTGTCTGCTATTGGTGTACAGGAATGCTTGTGATTTTTGCACATTGATTTTGTATCCTGAGACTTTGCTGAAGTTGCTAATCAACTTAAGGAGATTTTGGGCTGAGACGATGGGGTTTTCTAAATATGCTATCATGACATCTGCAAACAGGGACAATTTGACTTCCTCATTTCCTAATCGAATACCCTTTATTTCTTTCTCCTGCCTTATTGCCCTGGCCAGAACTTCCAACCCTATGTTAAATAGGAGTGGGAAAGAGGGCATCCCTGTCTTGTGCCAGTTTTCAAAGGGAATGCTTCCAGTTTTTGCCCATTCAGTATGATATTGGCTGTGGGTTTGTCATAAATAGCTCTTATTATTTTGAGATACATCCCGTCAATACCTAGTTTATTGAGAGTTTTTAGCAGGAAGGGCTGTTGAAGTTTGTCAAAGGCCTTTTCTGCATCTATTGAGATAATCATGTGGATTTTGTCTTTGGTTCTGTTTATATGCTGGATTACGTTTATTGATTTGCATATGTTGAACCAGCCTTGCATCCCAGGGATTAAGCCAACTTGTTCATGGTGGATAAGCTTTTTGATGTGCTGCTGGATTCGGTTTGCCAGCATTTTATTGAGGATTTTTGCATCGATGTTCATCAGGGATATTGGTCTAAAATTCTCTTCTTTGGTTGCATCTCTGCCAGGCTTTGGTATCATGATGATGCTGGCCTCACAAAATGAGTTAGGGAGGATTCCCTCTTTTTCTGTTGATTGGAATAGTTTCAGAAGGAATGATACCAGCTCCTCTTTGTACCTCTGGTAGAATTCGGCTGTGAATCCTTCTGGTCCTGGACTTTTTTTGGTTGGTAGGCTATTAATTATTGCCTCAATTTCAGAGCCTGTTATTGGTCTATTCAGGGATTCAACTTCTTCCTGGTTTAGTCTTGGGAGGGTGTATGTGTCCAGGAATTTATCCATTTCTTCTAGATTGTCTAGTTTATTCATGTAAAGGTGTTTATAGTATTCTCTGATGGTAGTTTGTATTTCTGTGGGATCAGTGGTGATATCCCCTTTATCATTTTTTATTGCATCTATTTGATTATTCTCTCTTTTCTTCATTAGTCTGACTAGAGGTCTATCAATTTTGTTGATTATTTCAAAAAACCAGCTCCTGGATTCATTGATTTTTTGAAAGGTTTTTTTTGTGTCTCTATCTCCTTCAGTTCTGCACTGATCTTAGTTATTTCTTCTGCTAGCTTTTGAATGTATTTCCTCTTGCTTCTCTAGTTCTTTTAATTGTGATGTTAGGGTGTCAATTTTAGATCTTTCCTGCTTTCTCTTGTGGGCATTTAGTGCTATAAATTTCCCTCTACACACTGCTTTAAATGCGTCCCAGAGATTCCGGTATGTTGTGCCTTTGTTCTCATTGGTTTCAAAGAACATCTTTATTTCTGCCTTCATTTCGTTATGTACCCAGTAGTCATTCAGGAGCAGGTTGTTCAGTTTCCATGTAGTTGTGTGGTTTTGAGTGAGTTTCTTAATGCTGAGTTCTAATTTGATTGCACTGTGGTCTGAGAGACAGTTTGTTATGATTTCTGTTCTTTTACATTTGCTGAGGAGTGCTTCCAACTATGTGGTCAATTTTGGAATAGGTGTGGTGTGGTGCTGAAAAAAATGTATATTCTGTTGATTTGGGGTGGAGAATTCTGTAGATGTCTGTTAGGTCTGCTTTGTGCAGAGCTGAGTTCAAGTCCTGAATATCCTTCTTAACTTTCTGTCTCGTTGATCTGTCTAATGTTGACAGTAGGGTGTTAAAGTCTCCCATTATTATCGTGTGGGAGTTTAAGTCTCTTTGTAGGTCTCTAAGGACTTGCTTTATGAATCTGGGTGCTCCTGTATTGGGTGCATATATATTTAGGATAGTTAGCTCTTCTTGTTTAATTGATCCCTTTACCATTATGTAATGGCTTTCTTTGTCTCTTTTGATCTTTGTTGGTTTAAAGTCTGTTTTATCAGAGACTAGGATTGCAACCTCTGCCTTTTTTTCATTTTCCATTTCCTTGGTAGATCTTCTTCCATCCCTTTATTTTGAGCCTATGTGTGTCTCTGCACATGATACGGGTCTCCTGAATACAGCACACTGATGGGTCTTGACTCTGTATCCAATTTGCCAGTCTGTGTCTTTTAATGGGGGCATTTAGCCTATTTACATTTAAGGTTAATATTGTTATGTGAGAATTTGATCCTGTCATTATGATGTTAGCTGGTTATTTTGCTCATTAGTTGATGCAGTTTCTTCCTAGCATCGATGGTCTTTACAATTTGGCATGTTTTTGCAGTGGCTGGTACTGGTTTTTCCTTTCTATGTTTAGTGCTTCCTTCAGGAGCTCTTGTTAGGCAGACCTGGTGGTGACAAAATCTCTCAGCATTTGCTTGTCTGTAAAGGATTTTATTTCTCCTTCACTTATGAAGCTTAGTTTGGCTGGATATGAAATTCTGGGTTGAAAATTCTTTTCTTTAAGAATGTTGAATATTGGCCCCCACTCTCTTCTAGCTCGTAGAGTTTCTGCCGAGAGATCCACTGTTAGTTTGATGGGCTTCCCTTTGTGGGTAACCCGACCTTTCTCTCTGGCTGCTCTTAAAATTTTTTCCTTCATTTCAACCTTGGTGAATCTGACAATTATGTGTCTTGGGGTTGCTCTTCTCGAGGACTATCTTTGTGGTGTTCTCTGCATTTCCTGAATTTGCATGTTGGCCTGCCTTGCTAGGTTGGGGAAGTTCTCCTGGATAATATCCTGCAGAGTGTTTTCCAACTTGGTTCCATTCTCCCCGTCACTTTCAGGTACACCAATCAAATGTAGATTTGGTCTTTTCACATAGTCCTGTGGGGAAAAGAAAGAGAGATCAGATTATTACTGTCTCCGTGTAGAAAGAAGTAGACATAGGAGACTCCATTTTGTTCTGTACTAAGAAAAATTCTTCTGCCTTGAGATGCTGTTAATCTGTAACCTTACCCCCAACCCTGTGCTCCCTGAAACATGTGCTGTGTCAACTCAGGGTTAAATGGATTAAGGGCTGTGCAAGATGTGCTTTGTAAACAAATGCTTGAAGGCAGCATGCTCCTTAAGAGTCATCACCACTCCCTAATCTCAAGTACCCAGGGACACAAAACACTGCGGAAGTCCGCAGGGACCTCTGCCTAGGAAAGCCAGGTATTGTCCAAGGTTTCTTCCCATGTGATAGTCTGAAATACGGCCTCGTGGAAAGGGAAAGACCTGACCATCCCCCAGCCCGACACCCATAAAGGGTCTGTGCTGAGGAGGATTAGTAAAAGAGGAAGGAACGCCTCTTTGCAGTTGAGACAAGAGGAAGGCATCTGTCTCCTGCCCATCCCTGGGCAATGGAATGTCTCTTTGTAAAACCCGATTGTATATTCCATCTACTGAGATAGGGGAAAACCGCCTTAGGGCTGGAGTTGGGACACGCGGGCAGCAATACTGCTCTTTAAGGCATTGAGATGTTTATGTGTATACATAGCTAAAGCACAGCACTTAATTCTTTACCTTGTTTATGATGCAGAGACTTTTGTTCACGTTTTTACCTGCTGACCTTCTCTCCACTATTATCCTATGAACCTGCCACATCCCCCTGTCCAAGAAACACCCAATAATGATCAATAAATACTAAGGGAACTCAGAGGCTGGTGTGGATCCTCCGTATGCCGAATGCCGGTCCTCTGGGCCCCCTTTTTCTTTCTCTATATTTTGTCTCTGTGTCTCTTTCTTTTCCAAGTCTCTCATTCCACCTAACGAGAAACACCCACAGGTGTGGAGGGGCAACCCACCCATTCATAGTCCCATATTTCTTATAGGCTTTGTTCATTTCTTTTTACTCTTTTTTCTCTAAACTTCTCTTCTCGCTTCATTTTATTCATTTGATCTTCAATCACAGATACCCTTTCTTCCACTTGATCGAATCGGCTACTGAAGCTTGTGCATGCATCACGTTGTTCTCGTGCTATGGTTTTCAGCTCTATCAGGTCATTTAAGGTCTTCTCTATGCTGTTTATTCTAGTTAGCCATTCGTCTAATCTTTTTTCAAGGTTTTTAGCTTCCTTGTGATGGGTTCAACCGTCCTCCTTTAGCTCAGAGAATTTTGTTATTACTGATCTCCTGAAACCTACTTCTGTCAACTCATCAAAGTCATTTTCCATCCAGCTTTGTTCCATTGCTGGCAAGGAGCTGCGATCCTTTGGAGGAAAGGAGGCACTCTGGTTTTTAGAATTTTCAACTTTTCTGCTCAGATTTCTCCTCATCTTTGTGGTTTTATCTACCTTTGGTCTTTGATGATGGTGACCTAAAGATGGGGTTTTGGTGTGGATGTCCTTTTTGTTGATGTTGATGCTATTCCTTTCTGTTTGTTAGTTTTCCTTCTAACAGTCAGGACCCTCAGCTGCAGGTCTGTTGGAGTTGGCTGGAGGTCCACTCCAAACCCTGTTTTCCTGGGTATCATCAGCGGAGGCTGCGGAACAGCAAATATTGCAGAACAGCTAATGTTGCTGCCTGATCCTTCCTCTGGAAGCTTCGTCTCAGAGGGTCACCCAGCTGTATGAGGTGTCAGTCAGCTCCTACTGGGAGGTGTCTCCAAGTTAGGCTACTCGGGGGTCAGTGACCCACTTGAGGAGGCAGTCTATCTGTTCTCAGATCTCAACTCCATGCTAGGAGAACCACTGCTCTCTTCCAAGCTGTCAGACAGGGACGTTTAAGTCTGCAGAAGTTTCTGCTGCCTTTTGTTCAGCTATACCCTGCCCCCAGAGGTGGAGTCTACAGAGGCAGGCAGGTCTCCTTGAGCTGCAGTGGGCTCCATCCAGTTTGAGCTTCCCAGCTACTTTGTTTACCTAGTCAAGCCTCAGCAATCACAGACCCCCTACCCCAGCCTCACTGCAGCCTCACTGCTGCCTCACAGTTCGATCTCGGACTGCTGTGCTAGCAATGAGCAAGGCTCCATGGGCATGGGACCCACCAAGCCATGTGCGGGATATAATCTCCTGGTGTGCCATTTGCTAAGACTGTTGGAAAAGTGCAGTATTAGGGTGGGAGTGTCCCAATTTTCCAGGTACCGTGTGTGATGGCTTCCCTTAGCTAGGAAAGGGAATTCCCCAACCCCTTGCACTTTCCAGTTGAGGTGATGCCCCACCCTGCTTCGGCTCACACTCCGTAGGCAGCACCCACTGCCCAACCAGTCCCAGTGAGATGAACCTGGTACCTCAGTTGGAAATGCAGAAATCACCTGTCTTCTGTGTTGCTCACGCTGGGAGGTGTAGACAAGCTGTTCTTATTCGGCCATCTTGAAACAATCCTCACTTTATATCTTTTTATATGTTTATTGGCCTTTAATTTTTTCACTTTTTTGAAATGTCTTTAGCCTTTTTTTATATTACAGTTGTTGTTGTTATTGATTGATAGGCTTTCTTTATGCTTTTTTGGACATAGATCTTTGAGATTATATGTGTATGAGTTACATTTTTCCTAGGTTTACTTGTTTTCACACATGAATAATGCCAATGTCAGCCTCAAACCTGCCTAATTGAGAGCATGTGGTTGGTTTTTCTGGTTTTTTTCTCTTTCTTCCTCTCTCTCCCTCCCTCCCTTCCCTTTTATTTCATTCTTTCCTTACTTTTTCTCTCCTTGTTTTCATATTTACTTATTCACTCATTTATTTTTAAAGACAGGGTCTCACACTGTCACCCAGGTGGGAATGCAGTGGCACAATCGAAGCTCACTACAGCCTCAAACTCCTTTGTTCAAGCCACTCTCCCACCTCAGCCTCCTGCATAGCTAGGACTAAAGACACATGCCACCACAGTTGACTTGATTTTTGTTTTTTGTTTTTTTCTGGTAGACACAGGGTCTTGCTATGTTGCCTGGCCTACCTGGTCTCAAACTCCTAGCCTCAAGAGATCTTTCCACCTCTGCCTCCCAAAGTACTGGGATTACAAGCATGTACAACTGTGCCCCCCACTCTTCATCTTTAACTTAATGTTCTTTGTCTTCTTTTATTTCTTCTTCCCTTTTCTCTCCCTCCTCACCTTTATTTTCTTCTTCTTGTTCCTCTTTCTCTCTCACTCTGTCTTTCCATGTTGCAATCATAACCTAGTTCTAGATAGGCAAGTGGCCTTTAGCTAGATTTTTTAGGGTTTTGTTTTTGTTTTTGTTTTGTTTTTCTGGTTCATGCTTTAAATGTGTTGCCCTTTGAGGTCCTGGATTTAAGCCAGGCTGAATAGGTATGCCAGTGGTTACAAGCTTCTGGGAAAGATCTCCCTCTTTCATGCTCTATAACAACAATACAACTTGGCAAGCTGTTGCCTGGGGGTGGAGTGAAGATAGAAATGAGAGTGAGAAGTGTTTGCATGTATTGCTCAATTATCTCGAGTTAACAACCTTTTCAGTACTCACCTTTAAAGTAATATGGTTTGCCTGCACTTCCCCCAGCAACCATGAAGCCATTAAAAATAGAGCTCCAATGCAGGATTGGGTTCAGCACATGCTCTTGGGGGTAAAGCAGCTTTAGGACTCTGCTTACTTCTCCAGGTTCTTACTCTCACAGATTTTGGTCTGTTTATTCATTATTATTTTATGAGCATTTTGATATCTTCAGAAATATAATTTGTTATATCTCAAATAACTACTGTTTTTAGCAGGATGATTGAACTGGTATATTTTAGATCCCTCAGTATGAATATGGGAAACAAATCATTTTACTACTAACTACAGGTCATAAATTATTAGTTTTGCTTGGTTTTATTTCATTATCCCATACCCAGTATGGAAATTTTCCCTTGGATCACCACCTGCATTGAAGGATTTTCCTCTACTATCCTTCCACTGAGGATGTCGTCTTTCAGGTTCCCATCATTATATGGGAGTCTCTATGCCTTAGTCTCCGCATCCACATGTAGCTACACACAGGTGCTCTATAAGGGCTTAGTAGATGATCTTGAGGAAATAGTGTGCTTCAGTGCCATTTACCTGCCTGTTGAGGTTGTACTTGTTTTTGGTAGTTCTTTTCGTTTTATTTTATATTTGGGTTCTTGAGAATATCCATTACTTTCTTGCCATTTCAGCCACACATAGTAAAATATGCTTATAACATTTTATCTCACATCTATAGATGTTTTGTAAAAGACTTTACTTCAGTAAAGCTAGTCCACATATTTCTAAACATTTTAATTATGGTTTTAATTATGGACCTGTTGTTGTATAGAAATTTAAATGTTTATTATAGTGAAAGATATCAACAGTGCTACTGAGGATCTGGGCTTTTTAGTCTCGTTTGGAAAATCCTTCTGCAGTCTTAAAAACATTTTCTCATGTTTTCTTCCATCTGGAGCTGATCTTTGTGCACTGTGTAATCACTATTTTATTTCTGTTAGCAAAGTGGGCCAAATATTTGGTTTAACAAATATATCCAGTTCTTTCCTTCAAGGCACATAGTGAAATTGCATGTACTAGTTTCCTTGTGGATAGGGCCATGCTGGTTCTGGGCCATATGACCAGTTCAGGACAATGAATTGTTCATGTCTGATGATCACCAAATTGGGGTTGAAGCATTTAACTGCCAGTGCAAGACCTGTCTTAGCTCTCTTTTCCTTGGCAGATCAGCAAGCTGTATTCTAATGGTAGCTGCTTTGTCAGCCTGGTGAAG
Organism: Homo sapiens; assembly: GCF_000001405.40. Taxonomy (NCBI): domain Eukaryota; kingdom Metazoa; phylum Chordata; class Mammalia; order Primates; family Hominidae; genus Homo; species Homo sapiens. The sequence continues at coordinate 7,961,021 of NC_000020.11, forward strand.
ATGAGAAGAGTCCCAGGCAATACATGACTGGCAAATAGTATGTGACTTTGAATGCCAAAAATTATATCTTTGATATCCAAAGTCACATAATGTATCTTAGTCTTACTGATATACATAAGGTCCAAGATAAGAATTAATTTATTTTTCCAAATAAGTAACCTCACTCTCACCCTCACTCATCTCACCCTCACTGAGTGAAAAGCCCCTCTTTCTCCATTCATTTAATGATACTTGTTAAGACAGAATATTTCATACCATGGATATAACCAAAAACTAATGTTTCTGTTTAATCAAAAAAAATTTCCCATGTAGACATAAACATATTTTCAAGGTTGATGATGAAATAAGATGGATAATGGATGCTAGAAATTATGTTTCCTGTAAGCAGCATGAAGAAATCTCCAAAGGAGGCTATTTCTAAAACACAGTTGTAATTGGAACCAGTGAGCGAGAGTAGGCTGCTAATGGGATGTCATGCTTTGATTTTAGAGATCAGGAATCCAAATTGAAATACCTTAAACAGTACAGTTTTGTTTAAACTATAGTCCTCTGCTAGGAGGAAAAGTTCCCAATATTTAAAATGGGACAATTTCTTCAGGTAGATAATTTGAATTTAGAGAGGAAGGGTAGCTTTACCTGAAAGGTGATGCTGAAAGGAAATCACTGCACTTGGAGGCACATCCTGGAATAGACTCTCATCCTGCAGGCTGCTTATCTTGGAGGATGAGACACAGATGTGTGTGGTATTCCTAGAGCTATTGAATTATTTAACCCTTTTATGAATTTTGTTGATGACTTTTTTTTTTTTTTTTTGAGACAGGGTCTCACTCTGTCATCTAGGCTGGAGTGCAGTGGTATGATCATGGCTAGCAACCTTGAACTCCTGGGCTCAAGTGATCCTCCAGCCTCAGCCTCCTGAGTAGCTAGGACCACATCACACCCCTGCCCCACCACATGCCCACTGCCCAGCTAATTTAAAAAAATTTTGTAGAGACTGACTCTGGGTCTGACTATGTTGCCCGGGCTGGTCTGGAACTCCTGGCCTCAAGCAGTCCTCTCACCTCAGCCTCTACGGATGACTATTAACAGCATATTTATAAATATAACATTTAAAAATATATGTAAATTATTTCTGATCACTAAATGCTGAGTCATATTGAAGCATATTAGAAAACTAGAAAATCGTTAGGATGAATTTCTTTTGGAAATTACTAAAAAAGAGTATATTGTTATGTGAAATATGTGTGGGAGCCATGCAAATGTATTATAAGCATATGGACTTGGGAAAAGGAGCACACTGAATGAATTTTTACCCCTCCTCTCCTCATTTTGTCCATAAGTGTAAAAAATTAAAAACTCATTCTTTTTAAGATATGTAAAATGGTTTTTAAAACATTCTGATACTTCAACTCAATTGCTGGAAATATCCTTTGTGGTAAGCAAAGATAGTTGCCTATTCACGAAAGATTCAAAAGATAGCATAATAAGAAAACAATATTTGGCCAGGTGTGGTGGCTCATGCCTGTAATCCCAGCACTTTGGGAGGCCGAGGCGGGTGGATCACCTGAGGTCAGGAGTTCGAAACCAGCCTAGCCAACATGGTGAAACCCCATCTCTACTAAAAATACAAAAAATTAGCTGGGCATCATGGTGGGTGCCTGTAATCCCAGGTACTCAGGAGGCTGAGGCTGGAGAATCACTTGAACCTGGGAGGCAGAGGTTGCAGTGAGCCCAGATCACGCCATTCCACTCCAGCCTGGGCAACAGAGCAAGACTCCGTCTCAAAAAAAAAAAAGAAAGAAAGAAAACAATGTTTATCTTCTACTTTATTATTATGGAGGGATTGTTTGGCAGGACTGTTTCTTTTATCTGCTTTGGTACCATTAGTAGCAAATGTTCAGTGTGACCAACATAAGCTAATGATGTGAGGACTGATACTAATAATTTTTTAAAATTCTCAGTGGAAATCATGAGTTTACCCAGCATCAGATTTCATAAGCTATAATAATATAGTCTCTTTGCTTTTCACTGTAAATATATTCATTGAATATTATATTGGTATGTATTATATAATATGATTATGCATAATATATCATTCTAATATATACAATTAATATGTAAACTCACTCAACAAAAGATATACAGATCTTCAGCTAAGGCAAAATTGGAAAACATTAATTCTTCTTATGAAAGGCAATTTCTGTGGTTGTCCCTTCTTTAGAAACATTGGGTCAAGTGGCATGAAGGGTGACGGAAATAATAAATGAAGTCTTCATTCCTCAGTGGCAAACACTGGAACTACCACCCTGATCTATGCAGAGAATGTTTCAGCATCATTCTCTGCCAGTTAACTCCAGTATTCATATATTACCAAGTGTTTTTTTTGTGTGTGTGTGAATTAATATTAAATCTAGGTACATCAAGAATCTTCCAAATTTTATATTGTCAGGTCCTAGGAAACAGAAACGATGGTTAAATCTCATATTAGTACACTAGACTACCCAACTGGCATGTGTTTTATTTGTTAATAAATAAAATTTTAAAAATGCTCTCCATCTTCCACCGGTCCCCTTGCCACTCCCCTAAATAACTTAAGACGGCTGGCTTGGCTGGGAGGCCCACTCTTTGCCCTTCCCATCTTCTTTCCTCTTTCTGTTCAGAATGCAGAAAGATCCAGCGGCATCTTGGGATGATGAGATTCCACGAGAGTGGGGGCCAGAGATAAAGGTGACAGGGCAGAAAGAGACAGGATCCTGGGTCCTGAGGCCCACAAAGATGCCATACAAACCCCCAACCGCTTGCCTCCTGACTTCTTTCACACAGCAGAACATGACCTCCCATATGTTTGGAATGTCTTTTTTTTTTTTTTTGAGATGGAGTCTCGCTCTGTCGCCCAGGCTGGAGTGTGGTGGTGCAATCTCGGCTCACTGCAAGCTCTGCCTCCTGGGTTCATGCCATTCTCCTGCCTCAGCCTCCCTAATAGCTGGGACTACAGGCGCCCGCCACCACGCCCGGCTAATTTTTTGTATTTTTAATAGAGACAGGGTTTCACCGTGTTAGCCAGGATCTCCTGACCTCACGATCCGCCCTCCTCGGCCTCCCAAAGTGCTGGGATTACAGGTGTGAGCCACCGCAACTGGCCTGGGGTGTCTTTTACTAGCATCCAAACGCAGCTCCTCAGTGACCCAGGTCTCAGTTCACTGTGATGCCCAAGACAGGATGTAACAAAGTTAACAACAAGATATATATTATATTTACATACATAGATACATGCACATATACTATACACACAATGTTTTATATATACAAATAAATGAAATTGCAGTTTACCTTACATATAAAGTAAGCTGTAATTTATGGTTAGCTGAAAGTTAATTGTAGCAATAGTCTAATATAGTATCTGTAAGACCAGAGATACTAGAAGTCATTGAAATTAGTCTCATGGAGTAAAATCCCAGAAATACGCATTAAAAGTGATTCTTGGTTTGTTTTCTCTAGCATGGGTGTGTGTATGTGTGTGCATATTCTGTGATTTTTATACTCAATATTATAAGAAAAATCTTGATTTGACAGTTCTGTTCTGGTTCTTATCAACTGAAATATTTTCTCAAACTCCTGGCCTCAAGCAATCTTCTCACCTCAGCCTCCCAAAGTGCTAGGATTACAAGCATGAGCCACCGTGCCCAGCCTCAAGTGAAATTTTCTAAAGTAATCAAACACTGTCAGCGAGGGCGGAACAGAAACTGTGAGAATATTCGAAGTGCCCAAGAATGTAGCTTCTGATGCCACAAGAGTAGAATGATGGATTGCCCTCCAGTTTCCTTGTAAAATCCTCCTATAAAACCATGTGCCAAAAAAATGGAGGACCTCATAGTTTGTTACATTATAAAGAGATAAAATATCTAATCAACTGCAAAGACAGGTCACTTTGCATTTTGAAATCCTAACTGAAGAAGTTATCTGCTCTATACAAAAAGATAGATACAAGACAAATATTCCAACCTTGAACCCCAGCATCTAAGTGGATATTAACCCTAACAGTTGTGTCAGGGTACTGCCAATGGGATTCTGTCCTGAGTAATGGGCCTTTTTTCTTAATGAACCCATTTAACAGCTGTCAAGTTCAAAGAAAGACTCAATGTGTTAAATAAGACCATCACTATCCCAGATCTCTCCTGGATATTAAAAAACAAAAGAATGTCCAAGGTTCTGTAAACTCTTATGAATTTACCTTATGTGAATAGCCTCATTATAATAAGGAAAACAAAGACTGCTTGTCAACTTCTATGCAGCACCCAGGGAAGTATACCTATTTTCGTTATAGAAAATAAAAGCAGACCATTTTTCAGGTGTTCCATTTTTTATGTCTCTGTAAAGCCCCAGCAATGGGTAACTCAGAGGCACATCATAGGTTTTTCCATGATTGGCTTTCTTTCCAAGTTACAATGAGACAATGTTATAATAAAACCCTGTTGGTGGGCCAGGTGTGGTAGCTCACATATGTAATCCCAATACTTTGGGAGACTGAGGCTGGAGGATCCCTTGAGGCTAGGAGTTCGAGACCAGCCTTGGAAACATAGCAAGACCTATCTATTCAATTAGAAGAAAAAGAGAGGCCTGGCTCTGTTGCTCACGCCTGTAATCCCAGCACTTTGGGAGGCCGAGGCAGGCAGATCGCAAGGTCAGGAGATTGAGACCATCCCAGCTAACACAGCGAAACCCCGTCTCTGACTAAAAATACAAAAAAAAAAAATTAGCTGGGCATGGTGGCAGGTGCCTGTAGTCCCAGCTACTCAGGAGGCTGAGGCAGGAGAATGGCATGAACCCGGGAGGCAGAGCTTGCAGTGAGCCAAGATTGTGCCACTGCACTCCAGCCTGGGTGACGGAGCAAGACTCTGTCTCAAAAAAAAAAAAAAGAAAAAAGAAAAAAGAGAGATAAAGAAAGAAAAAGAAATCTTGCAGCTCTTTTATTTTCTCAGCCTTGCTTTACCCACTGTGGAATAACTCCTGAAATTTAAATGAACAGAGATTTAAGAATTCTACCTTACCCCTTCCTTAAGAGAGAAAAATCATACACAAAATAGAAACATTGATAATAATATGGTGAATTTGCAGCAGAAAGAGAATTAGAAAAAAAAAAATCTATCCGAACATTTTCAATATCAAGCAACTGTCAAAATATTATCTAAGTCAATTGTTCCCTCTGACCTCTTATGTCACTTCTGGAAACAATAACATTAGCCTCGTTTTCACACAAGTCCTCAGCACACACGCTTCTACCTTTTTCTCCACTTTAGTATCTGCATTTATCTCTTTAGTTAGACAGTCGTTAGACAACACTGGGAAGCAGGCCAGCTCACAGTTCTTACCCCTTTTATCTTAATAGGATTTTCCAGAAATCATGTGGATAGATATGATACAAATTATTCTGCCCCTTCAGCTTTCAGTAACAGGAAAGTTTCTGTTAATAAGGTTTCAGTATTGACAGGCATCAGTATTTTCCAGAAAAGAGATAGCATCATTTCCAATTTACAGGAAACAATTTCTCAATGGACAGTTGAAAAAGCATAGAAATACAAAGTGATGGACTTAAAAATTACGGTCATATAGTCAGATTTTTATTTTAGTCAACATTTCTAAGTAGAAAGAAAATGCGTTTTTATGATTCTTCTAGTCTGGAGTTATCTACTGCTGAAAAAATATAATAATATTATTAATAAATGGTTCCTGCACATAGAGGATATGTAAGGTCTCAAAATGTTTAGATACATACAAAATGAGCAGTACTTGGAATTCAAATTTGACTAGTGAGGCACATAATCTATCAGTCTATCTGCCTTTTTTTCACCGCCTTTGTTTGGCACACTTACAGAAAAGCAACAACTTCCAAAGTAGTTTCCCAAACTAGGTTCCATAGATTTCTGATAAATATTCCTTCACAGAGAGTATCTATATGTAGGAAAAAAATATGTATGTGATTCAATGGAAAATTACGATTGTTTAGATCACAACACTCCAGATTATCTGATACTTATCTGTCATTATCTTTGAGCTATTTTACAACCCTATCAGTTGTAGATGTCTGATGGAAATACAAAATAAGATATTCAGTTCTAACAGTAGCTTAATCTAATAATTTCATCTTTCATGATCATTCACCCATGATGCACAAGCCAAAACCTAGGAAACATTACTAATTCTTTTCCCTTTCATCATGGACATCTAATTCAGTAAAAAGTCCTATTTGTTTTAACATGAAATTATATCCCAATTCCCACCATTAAATAGCGTGTGAATTTCAACCATCCTCATCCAAGCCTCATCCTCTCTCATTTGAACTAATGACCAGATGATGAAACTTAAAAACTTAAGTCAGCCAGGCATGGTGGCTCATGCCTGTAATCTTGGCAGTACAAGAGGTCAAGGCAGGAGGATCCCTTAAAGCCTTAAAGCTCGACACCAGCTGGGGCAAGAAAATGAGACCTCCTATCTCTAAAAAAAAAAAAAAATTTAAATTAGCCGGGCATGGTGGCATGTGCCTGTAGTTACGGCTACTCAGGAGGGTGAGGCAGGAGCCCAGGATGTGATGTAATGCTGAAAGTAAAGATTGGAATGATAGAACACAAGCCACAGAATGCTGGCAGTCTCTAGAAGCTGGAAGAGCCAATTTCTTCCCTGAAGCCTCCAGAAGGAATGCAATTTACTGACACTCTGATTTTAGCTGCCTAAGACTCATAACTTCTGACTTCCAGAATTGTAAGATAATAAATTTGGGTTATTTTAAGCCACTAAACTTGTGAAAATTTGTTACTGCAGCAATAGCAAATCAAGATAGATGCATTCAGTACGTATTGGCTTAAGGAATCCATTCCTCAACAGAGGCAATATATAGTCAGGTGCTGCAAAACAATGTTTTGGTCAGCACACATACAGACAGAGCTCATATATGACAGTGGTCCCATAAGATTATAATACCATATTTTTACAAAACCTTTTCTATGTTTGGATACATTTAAATAAACAAATAACATTGTGTTACAATTGCCTACAGTATTGAGCACACTAATATGGTGTGCAGGTTTGTAGACTAGGAGTAATAGGCTACATATAGCTTAAGTGTGTAGTAGGGTCTACCATATAGATTTGTACACTCTATGATGTTCTTAACAATAAAATTGCCTAATGACATATTTCTCAGAATGTGTCTTCATCATTAAGCAATGTGTGACTGCAATAATGATTTGGCACACAGATTGAGAACTAAGACTTTTGGGGTTCAAATCTCATCTCATAATGAGATAGTGCATATAAAACACTCAATAAATGCCAGCTGTATTACTGTTGTGTTTTATAGCTCAATGAGAAGTCCTCGTCCCGTTTCTTAACACTGGCTGCACATTAAAATCACTTGAAGAGGTAAAAAATGTTCATGCTTTATCTCCAGAAAGCAGGGCCAGCTACATAATTTGCAAGCTCCATGCAAAGTGAAAATGCAGGGCATGGTGGCTCATGCCTGTAATCCCAATATTTTGGGAGGCCAAGGTGGGAGAATCGCTGAAACCCAGGAATTCAAGACCAGCCTGGGCAACATAGCGAGCCCCCATCTCTACCAAAAAATACAAAAATTAGCCGAGCGTGGTGGCACGTGCCTGTAGTCCCAATTACTCCGGAGGCTGAGGCAGGAGGGTTATTGCTTGAGCCCAGGAGGTCGAGGCTACAGTGAGCCACAATTATACCACTGCAATTCAGCCTGGGTGACAAAATGAGATCTTATCTCAATAATACTAATAAAATATAATAACACCAACAACATAGCATCTAAGCACAGCTCTGGGCCCTTCTGGGCATGGAATCCTATGGGACTGCAGTCACATCCTTAGAGGCTCACCTTGCTCAAGGGATTGTGAAATAATTCTGAAATAAATTATCTGTAACGTTTAAAAGCCAAGTTATTCTAGTATAAAATCCCAATTGAGAACCACCAGTGTAGTCCAACAATATCATTTAATAAATAAAAATTACTGAGCCCCGTGTCCAATGCTGGCTTCCCAGAATCTCCCTACAACAACCTATTCATAGGACAAAGTTGAGCTTATAGATTACTACGGTATCACAGCACTACCTCAACAGTCTTAATTGTATCTCAGAGGGAGGAATAGCAAAATTGGGAGATTTATTGATATTTGGAAGTTTCCTTTAAGTATTTCTTTGAGAGTGGCAGGAGGATTGGTTAGGCCTGGGTAAGGATCAGAGTACAATAGCGTAGGATCAGTGAACACTGTAAGGCAAAAAAACTTGAACAGTATCATTTGATGCCTTCTATTGAAAAGTCTGATTAGTCTTTTAGAAAGCTTCTGGAGAAAACACAATATAGTTATTTGTAACTTTCATCTTTCTGATCAAGTGTTTTCTGGAATAATAAAATTATGTTGATGAAGACTGTGGAATAATCAAGTCAGATTAATTTGGATACTAAGCCATAGATAGCTTGGATTCTGAACAGAAGGGTTAAATGATTTACATAGTATTATGCAAGTAGTGGGTAAGTCGAGGGAGACCTTAAGTGTTCTGACTCAAAGGTAGTGCTCACACCAGGCTGCTTCTACAGAACACAGGAATCTAAATCAAACCACTCACGTTATCATAATTTTCACAAAACACATTTCAAAAGACAGTATCTTCAACTGGCATTACACTTCCAAAAAAATTGTTAAGTAGCAATTTTCAGTTGGATTATTATAACAGAAAAGCTCAAAGTATTCATTTTTCATCATTAAAGAGCTATTTTCCAGTCCAAAGGTAAATTATGAGAGTTTCTGAGGATTTTGAAATGGTGCCACACTTAGGTAATAACAAATCTGTAAATCTCATGGTTAAGTTTATAGCAGAAAACACTGAGTTGGTTCAGGAAATCAGAATTCAGAAGGCTTCATAAATTATTATTTTATGGCGGTTACTGTAAATTGAGACATATTCTAGTCTTTCAGCCTAAGTGCTTTCTTTCTTTTTATTTTTTTGTCAAATGATGCAGCAATGCATGTTTTAGAAATTTTTACAAGAACTCTCAATCTTTCTGTGTTCACTGAGTTATGTCGAGAATAGAAGTCGTTGTTGAATTTTAGCTAAACTAGAGAAGTTGTAGCTCTAAAGAATCAGCCCGCACTTGTGCAAACTTTCACAATAAGTCTTCTCGAATATCCCATTGGCTTTAGATTTTTTTCTTTTACAAAAAAGAAAACTAATTAAGAATGATCTCTGTGACTGGAAGGCTATTTCCTTGAGTACACAAGAATGAAATGAGACGAACTAATTCCTCTGGATAAATTTTTACATATAAAATTAAATTGCTTTCAGAATTAAATACCTTGGCCATTCCATACTCTTGTTTTGTAACATTATGACAGTGACATGGAGAGAAAAAAAGTGGCAGAAGGACAATTCTTTTCTTATGCTGGAGCAGCAAGTGTGAGATTTTCTTTTTCTACACCCTCAAGGTTAACTCACTTCTGGGCATACAGGAAAAACTGAATGGAATTAATGTCACTAACTTGGAAACTCAGTATAACATCTTTCACTCAAATGTGAACTTGCTATAAGTAAATGTTGGGGAAGGAAAGAAGAACAATTGTCTTATTTCTGGTTTTAGATCGAAGACCCAAAGATGGTGATGGTGAGGTAGTCAGCAAAAATATAGTCCACAGAGGTAACAAATTATATCAGCTTTAATTTGTAAGTGTTTGATGATTTCCTCCTGGCCTCAGCAAGGAATAACATAGCTTTCTCCTGTTTCTTCCTTCGTCCGCTCCACCTACCCTTTGAACCTATTATACAAACTCAGGGCAGTCAGGTAAAGAGGAAAGAGAAAAATAGAAATATTTGTAGTGGAAAAGGTTGAGACTTACAAAAGGAGAAAAATTGGGCTTGAAAGAGAAGGAGAAGGAAAAAAGCAAGAGCTTATGCAAAAAGCATGGAAGGGAAAGTTTGTGAGGGAAGAAAATGGAGAATAGGAAAGAAGGTAGAAGTCGAAGAATAGCCCCAGGGACCCATGTATGAGAGAGTAGAATAATAAAAGAAATGCATGGAGCTTTTAAGAAATGTTAGTCTAGATAATAAATTAGACTCTCATTATTTTTCCAGAGATAAAATAATTTATGTTTCTGGCTCCTGGGCTGAGTTTCATGGGCTAGAAATACTGGGCCATGAAGAATCATGGAATTTAGATGGGTTACATTCTAGACATGAATCCACAGGTCTTTGAGTGTATGTTGTGATACCCAATTGCACCTTGATTTAAATTATTACCTGAGTCAATAGTGTATACTTGGCATGAAAACCAGACTCTTGGAACAACAGAATAAATAAATGAGAAATTAAGAGTGAGTTCTTATAACTCCAGAAAGCCCAAGCAATGTGGTTGAGGCTTTGATAAAATAAAAACTGTAATTTGGTAGGGAGGAGGACAGACGCATGGTTCCAATTTGAATATCAGACTTATGAAACAAACATAATGCAGTAAAATTGAGATTATCTTTAAAAGAAAAATATCCCTTGTGAAACTGCAAACTTGACATTAAGTTTAAGACAGCTTCAGTGGCCCTCTCATTTCTCAAGAACATACATTGCATCCCTAACAGAGGCAGACAGCCAGTGTCAATCCTGCTTGGAGCAGTCAAATCCGCTGCCTGCCCTACTGTGCTGAGCACATTCATTCCAAAGGCATCTGGCTGCTGCCATGGAAGTCAACTTCAACCAGGCTTTGGAACTGTTGCAGCAGGCTAATAGCTCCCAGAAACTTGAGAAATTTGTGGAAAATAACAGGCCAAGGAAGGGCCAAATCAAAAAACCTTGAGTTGTGATTTGAGCATTGCACTAAAATGTTATAAGATGTATGGACACAAAAATAAGAAATGCAGCACCTACTATCCTACACCAGGGGCAATTTATAAAGTTAAAGCTAGAAAAGCTGCCATTCATGTTATAGATGTTTCTGAGAGGATGTAGCCATAAGAAGTAAGTGGCTAAAAGAATTCCTAAGGTGGAATGTCTGCCAGGAGTGATGGAAGGAGGCTTGGCAAATGTCCTGGTTGGAGCAGATGGGTGAGCAAGCCATGATTTTCTGGGTTTTAATCCTGAAGCAAGAGTCATATGACCTCTCATTATTGGTGAAGATGACCTAACCTGAGGAGGACAATGAATGAAATGTAACGCCTCCAAGACCATCTAATGGGGCTCACACTGGAGGCTTTGAGCAGATTTAGGGAGCTAGAAGTCATAGTAAAGACACTCCATCTTCGTTAGTCTTTTTATAAGGGTGAACATAAGCAGGATCCAAATCCCAAGCATGGGCCCACAGAGAGCTCTTCTTGGAGACTGGGCACCAATTTGCCTCCAGGGCAAGCAGGTTTCCTGCAATGAGAGATTTTAAGAACTCAACATGGATGAGTCCACATGAGGGTCACCCCTGTCTGCCTAGCCAAACTGGGAGGACTGGACATGATTGGTGTTTACTTCTATCGTGGAGAAGAGGAGCATCTAGTGATAGTTTCCACCCTGAGGGTATTTAATACTAAATCATCTTTCTTTACCCGAGGAATGGGGACTGGAGGAGAGGACTAGAAAGTCTCCAAATGGGGAAGGGGGAGGGAGAGTGTCATTAAATCCTAAATGTAATATGTTGGCCATCAGGGAGTTCTCCCATTCTCTGCCTACAATGTTTGCAGAGAGGACAATGATGAATTTTGGTGGAGGAAGCTAAGCTTGAACTTCTTTGCGAAGTGCCTGACAGGAATTTTGATCTACCCAGTATACATTAGAGAAGTTGGGGGGCAGCAGATGTAAAGTGTAATAGACACATAGGCTCAGCTCTTTTTGACACATGGATATTCATGGCCTCCCACCCACCTCCTCCCCAGTCAAGGAAAATTCTGGCAATGCCATTTTGGTATTTACTACTTTCCTGGAGCTCCATGGCTTTATTATGCAGTGAGAAGAATCTTATAAGCAGAGATGGGATATCTGTTAGAAGGGAACTGTGGAGAAAGGAGCTTTCTCTCAGGAGTAAAGACGGAGGAGTAGTAGGTAAGAGGAGAGTGGTTAGGAAAAGAGAACAATTAGTGTTTGCACTTTGGAAACACCCTAGAGAAATTTCAGGCATAAAAACAAAAAGAGGGGAAGTGGAGCAGGAGGATAGCTTTGGGGACTAAAAGAGGCAAAGAATGAAAGAAAAATAAGGAGTCAATTTTCACTTTTGATAGCTAGATTACAGTCCTTTGAATGCGATAGTCCACAATGATAAAGCTTTATGAACCTCAGGATTTACTAAAACTATGGCTTTCTATCTCATAGCAAAAAAAGGTAGAAAACCCACCATCCAACCTAGGAACTCAACCTCTACCAGTTAACTTCCCCCAGCATTTACACTTACTTCCAGGATTACATCATTCTGATTTCAGAAGTTGGATAGACCAAGGCTGAGTTTCAGTGTCTGTGGGGTCTGCTGACTTATGGTTCATCCTTATTCCTAATGTGAGTCCTTCACAGGCCCTCCCATCCTTAGCCAATCCCTGTCCCCTCAGAAGACAAAGCCCTCATAACCATCACTCAGCCTCTCAACACACCCCTTACCCCTACTCCAGGAACAGTAAATGCCCTCAGGAGAAAAACAGCCCCAAACAACAGGATCACATTCCTGACCTTACAATTTCTCCTAGATCTTGGCCTGATATCCTTCATCATCTTGTATACTTTGATGCCTTCAAGTGTGTAGCTATACATATATTTTAAATTCAGCTTTCCTAGTTGTCTTCATTGGGAGAGGTGGTTAAAATCGTCTAGACCTTCATTAGTGGATGTGGAAGTCTTTTATTATCCCCATTGCAAATATGAGGCACAGAGAAGTTGGGTAACTTACTCAAGTTCACACCGCTGGCAAGTGGCAGATCCCAGAGTCTTCCTGGGATCCAACCCCAGGAAGACTCGTTCTAGTGTTTGTGTTCTCAAACATCTGCTCCTTGCTAGGGTAATATATGTTGCTTTCTGATGATACAAGAACAAATCTTGGAAAATCCTGAGGAATATATTTCTAACATTTTGGCATTTCTCCCAAAGATTTAGTAAAATAGTCCAGGGAATGCCTCACAATCAAAATATTCAAAGGACCAGCTAAGAACTAGAAACTCTCTCTGTGTCTGTCAACAGTGGAAGGTATAAGCAACACATTGAATATTTATACAATGAAATACTACACACTAATAAAAAGAATTGAACTACTGACACATGCAAGATGGATGAACCTAAAATACACTATTTTGAGGGAAAAAAAGTGCCTAATTCTTTTGTGTTATGTGTTACATGCTTATTTTTCCTTTAATTTAAAACTTCTATTTAACAGTTTTATCCAAAGGATTTAGGCAAGTCTCACCTTGCTATCTGATAAACAGTTTCCTTGTGTGATTTGTAACTTTGAATTACAAGTTTATTTTAAGTGAGACTTCATCTATGGGAATCTTTAAGCCAGACTGAGGGTGTTTTCAACAGCAGCTCTGTGCTTGCTTCTGCTAGTATATCCACCCCGCCGCCCCACCATGTACACATCCCGCCGACCCCATTAGCCTTTTTATGAGAATTGTTTTGGTTTAGGTCCTTTTGAGACTATGAAGCTACTGTAAATTCAAACTCCAAGTTGTGTAAGGTCAGACCATTGATTGTGATTTCTTAGGGAAGTCTATTATTTTTCAACACATAGACCAGGCCAAGACAGAAAAGGTTTCTTGAAGTGTCTATGTTCTAGTGAGATTTTTTTATTTCACCAAGGATGTAGCTGGGAATTTTATGTTTCAGTTCCAGCTTTCTAACTTGGCTATAGTCAAGGCTTTTGCATCCTATACCTACACGGACAATAAAACATACTCTCTCTGGTTACCTAAGGGAGCAGCTGCTCTCTCCACCACCACTGGTGGCAGTTCCAATATCAGGTCATATTTATTGACCTCTTGGTTTTTGGCTTTGTGAATTTTTCTTACTCTCTTTTGAGCTCAGTTCTATCTTTAAAAAGATACTGGTTATATTTTAGCCAGCATTTCTAGTTTTTGTAGTGGGATGGTTTTCAAATAATGTATTTCACAATATCACTTTTCAAGTAAGTTTGGAAATGCTAGAAACTAAACTTATCCTTGGAGATTCACATGATTAGCCTTTTAAAGGTCAGGCACCACCAAGCCCGGCTAATTTTTGTATCCCTTGTAGAGACGGAGTTTCGTCATGCTGCCCAGGCTGGTCTTGAACTCCTGAACTCAAACAATCCACCCACCTCAGCCTTCCAAAGTGCTGGGATCACAGGGCTGAGCCACTGTGCCCAGCCTACTGATTGGGATATCAAAGATATTGAAATGAGAAAAAGCTCATGCAAAGATTAGTAAGAAACTGTGCCTCCATCCCTCCCTCAAAAAAAAGAAAATGAGGGCAAGAATCTACCATGACATTCTCTTTGAGATACATGCTATCTTCTGTTTCCATACATGCTGCTTACAGTTTGGTTGTGTGTGCCTAAGGGGTCCCACACCACCTCAGCCTCCACAGCCCCTAATTAGCCCTCCTGGTCACACATACCATCTACACCCTCAACCTAGGTCAGGTTCCTTTTTATAAACTCATATAGCATTTGTTAACTTTTTCACTTGTAACTCTTTTCCTGCTAATATTCACCTTCCCAAGTAAAATACAAACTCCATGAAATGACAATTCTCAGTTTGAAAACTCTGGTACCTTGAAGAGCCACAGTGGTCAAGTCCAGCAGGAAGACCTCCAGCACTGGGGCCATATGTACTCTGCCCTCTCCTGCCATATGTGCATTCATACTATGTCCCAGGAGCTTACTCTATAGAAGGTCCTAGGCTCACAAAGGTGGGCAAGAAAAAGTCACTGTGGCAAGAGATTGCTAGCTCTCAAGTTCCCTTTGTTCTTAAGCACACAGCAAGATTACACATCCTAGTCTTCCTTTAAGTTAGGTATGACCCTGTGACTAAGTCCTCTCACAGGAAATGTGAACATAAATGATGCACGTGTGGCAGCCTCGCTTTAAAATCTCTCAGCAATGTTCCTCCATCTCTTACTCCTCTGACTGACTGGGATGGAAATGATCACAGCCACCTTAGCAGCCACGTTTTTTTGGTTGTTTGTTTTGAGATGGAGTCTCGCACTGTTGCCAAGGCTGGAGTGCAAAGGCATGATCTCGGCTCACTGTAATCTCTGCCTCCCGAGTTCAATTAATTCTCCTGCCTCAGCCTCCTGAGTAGCTGGGATTATACGCACCTGCCATTACGCCTGGCTTATTTTTGTATTTTTAGTAGAGACAGGGTTTCGCCATGTTACTAAGGCTGGTCTCAAACTCTTGATCTCAGGTGATCCACCTCCCTCGGCCTCCCAAAGTGCTGGGATTACAGGCGTGAGCCACCATGCCCGGCCCAGCAGCCACATGTTAAACAGCAAAGCCTCCCTTGACCTTGAGGCCCAGAAAAACCTGCATGGGACAGAGCCTGCCTGGGATGCCTGGCCTGGGCTATGTGAATCAGTAATACAATTCTTGTTCTTAAAGCCCCCGAGATTTGCGGGTCTGTTAGCACAGGCTGGACTGTCGTAATACAGTTATCAATCTCAAGAAGCTCACATGTTCCAAGAAAGAATTTCTATTACTGTGAAATATGTTCCAAAGAGCATTCAAGACTAGAGCAAAGCAGGGGGTTAAATTTGTAATTCAGTGTTGTTGGCTTGAAAGCTGCATTTTGCTATAGGCAAGGATGAATAACCAAAGTCATCTAGGCAGACAGCACGACAGACATTTTTCTCTGTATAGGCAAATAAGCATTCTGAGCCAGTATCTCTGAGGGAGGGCCTTGGTGGTATGCAGGTTTAGTAACTGTCTTCTCACTACACACATCCCCCACCATCTTCCAAAAGACAAAAATCCAATCTCCATTGTTTCAGTCTCTGAGGGTGTTTCAAGGACCCACCTTACCACCTTGATGCTTTTCCACTATAGTGGTGGGGAGAGTTAGGTGTAGAAGGGAGTTTTCTGAAAGCCCCAAAGACAAGACCAATCCACAGTGTCTTGGGGGATTAGTAGCATCCCTTGCCATCTGGCTACCCCAAGACCTCAGGACAGAGGGAGACCCCAGAGGTTTCTGATGGCAACACACTGGCTGGAAGAGCCTTGGATCTTTGGACCCTGCCTTGGTTTTGTGCACTTTCCAGAGCAACTAAAGGGCACATGGTCTGAGTTTCACCGAGTCAGGAAGGGAGAAAGAGAGAGAATGAATGAACAGACTAGATGGAGGATGGACACGAAGGAAAATTTTTTTTAACAAATTAATATTTTTTGCTGCCTAGGCAAATGGCTTTTGTGAAAACACTTGTATGAAAAGCAATACACCATTTGTTTTTACTTACCAATCACTATCATTAGGTTTTGATGCAAATGGGAATTTACAATAAAATGAAACAAATAGGATCAGGGATTATATACAATACTGTGATCAAGTGATTTGTGATTCAGGCAATGTACTACTTGAAACACATATCTGGATTTCTCATTCCAATTGCTGCAGATGCTATTTGAGGAAGCAAAGAATACAGAAAGAAAAATAATTAGGTTCATTAGGCTAAGACTAATACCAGTAATATAAACAACAAATTTATAACATATTGCATTGCAAATAAGCAATGTTTTTAGTATAAAAATTGCATTTCCACAAAGAAGCTAATAACAAATACGATTAAACCACTTCAGAAACACGTCAAAGTTGTACGAGTCACACATATACAGTGTCACAGTCTACATAAAGCTTTACTGAGAATAAGCCATCTGAAGGGCATGTCCCGGGCTGAAGCGATCAAAGGGCTTTTCAACTGAAGTTCTTACTTCCAGAAAGCTGTTCAAAAAGCTGCCCCATCAGGTTCAGCAGGCTTGATGACTCCAAATTTGGCTTTTTAAGACAAGCTAAAATCTCCTCCAGAGAATCAAAATGTAGGACTGAGGTAAAGAGATATTAAACAAGAAGGAACTTTTCTGTTGGCATAAGAGATTTGAATGAATTCTTTCGAAAATGTTGGTACATTTGACAGGATGGGTCAACCACATATTCATAATACTGACAGAAATAACACTGTAACACCAAGATGAGGGACACAGATAACCTATTGATACGAGCAACAGAACCAGCCTCCCTCTTCTTTCTCTCACTTCATACTAAAGATTTTATGCTGAAATCTCAGGTTTGCCGTAACTTTTCCACCTTTTTTTAAAATTTATTTTTCTCTGGACTTCTAATGTTTCCATCCTATGAAACAACATACCAGCTCCACTACTGATGCATTTGGTAATAAAAAGTCACATGGTAAGTATTTGCCTTAAAAATGACTTTTATCGTCTACCCCAAAGGTGTTTTTACAGGATGCAGGTTCTGTAGACTGACATATTCCCAAATCATATTAGAACATCACAGCTGTCAACAAGGAATTTTGGCCATAAAAAGTCAAATTTTGTTTTTTTTCCACTATCAAAAGCCAACTCAGCTGAAGCTTATCTATTTTCTACTACAGTAGTTATTTTGAATGTATAGAGCTAAAGAGGCCTGTGGCTAACAGACAGGGATTCCATGCACAAGAGCTTTTAAGTATGTGCCCATGCAGTGCAAGGCCCTGTGAACCCAACAGGCCCTGTCCCTCATCCCATCCAATGACTATACTTCAAAGGGAAAGAAAGATGTGGATTGCCTGTATGTTGCTTCAATATGAGATCTCTGAGCAAGCTGGGTTGGTTTAGCAGATCTAGCAAGAGACAAATAATAAGAGAAACCAACATAAAGGTAATCAGAAGTTTCAAACTTTCCTTCTAATTGATGAAAAGATACCCTGCTCCAACTCCCCAAACATAAAGCACTGCACATTCCCATTCCAAAACCAGTTACCTGCATTGCATTCACCTAATTTTAATTTACATAAAATACCATTCTGTGACTAAATAACTGATACTGCAATAGAGGGAAGCATGATTTTAATTTTTTTTTTTTTTAGATTTTAAAAATCAAAATCATGTTTCCATGCACTTGAGTTCCGGATCAAATATATTATCTACAGAAAAAATCCACAAACTCTTATCGAAATGTTCATATAAAGTTTAAATTATTTCAGGTTGGCTTTTCTCCTTTAGTTTTATATTCATTAAGTATTGAAAACAAACCTAAAATCTTCAAGTGGAAAGATATTAAATTAAATTTTGTTGGAAAAAAACCCATCTTTGCCATGATGTTAAAAAAGGGAAAATCAGGAAAAATGGTTCCCACAGATATTTAAAGTTTTAATGGGTCCTCTTCTCCAAGATGTTTTTCTCCTCACCCTTCAATTTTTTTTAAAAGTATTTCTGAGAAAGAAAGTACATTTTCTGCCAGGTACGGTGGCTCACACCTGTAATCCCAGCACGTTGGGAGGCTGAGGCGGGCGGATCACCTGAGGTCAGGAGTTCAAGACCAGTCTGACCAACATGGCGAAACCCCGTCTCTACTAAAAATACAAAATTAGCCAGGCATGGTGGCACATGCCTGTAATCCCAGCTACCTGGGAGGCTGAGGCAGGAGAATCCCTTGAACTAGGGAGGCGGAGGTTGTAGTAAGCCAAGATTGTGCCATTGCAGCCTGGGCGACAACAAGAGTGAAACTCCATCTCAAAAAAAAAAAAAAAAGAAAATACATTTTTCTTATTATATAATTAGATATAGGTCAAATATCCCTTATCCAAAATGTGTGGGACCAGAAGTGTTTCAAATGTTTTTGGATTTGGGGATTTTTGTATATATATAATGAGGTATCTTGGGAGTAGACCCAAGTCTAAACACAAAATTCATTTGTTTTATATACACCTTATACAACATAGCTTGAAGGTAATTTTATCCAATATTTTTAATAATCTTGGGCATGGAACAAAGTTTTGATTGCACTGTAACTGCCACCTGTCAAATGAGGTCAGGTGTAAAATTTTCCACTTCTGACGGAATGCTGGAACTCAAAGTTTAAGATTTTGGAGCATTTGGGGTTTTGGATTGTTGGAACGGAATGTTCAACCTGTACTATTTGGGGTCCGGTTGGAAATTGGCTTTACATTTTTAAAAGCCAGTGTAGACTGTATTTCTGCCTTACCTTCTCTCTAGTCAAATACTCCACTAAAAAAATGAATATTTCAGTTTGAGAGGGAGGAATTATATAGAAAAGCCAAACTATGAAACCATTCTTATTCCATAATACCTCTGAACCTGAGTTTACTGTTCTTTGAGAACTCTGTTTCAGCTGATTATAAGAGAAAGAAATCCAGTGACACGAGGGCAGGCAGGCCCCGCTCTGCTCTGATCGAGAAAAGCTTCCTGATGTCAGGGAGATGGAACTGCCACCATCAGAACCATGGCACTTTGGGTGAAGGTGTGTCAGCGACCAAGGGGGCAGGAAATGGGCAGTGACTAAGGGGGCAGGAAACAGGCAGGCACATGGCAAGGTTCTCCCAGCCCATCAGCCCAGTGATGGCCTCGATTTTGAAGCTGCACTACTGTCTGAAAAGCACAATTACTGGTGACTCTTAACAAACTTCAGCATACTGGGGAAGGAGACTGTCAAGTAACTGAATTGGAAAGATGAAAAAGAACCATCTCTAAAAGTTGATGCTGTCAGAAGAATAACCTCCTTTGTGCAAGTCTTGCAACATCTTCATTCAACCACAGGAGGGCAGAGAGTTTCAGAACCTCCCCCACCAGTGAGCTCCGTGCTCACAATTAATACAAGGAAAGGGTTATCTAAACAGCCAGATAGAAATATACTGCACGTTCCTTTTTAAAGACGACAGAAACTTTTAGAATTTCATAAACCTGTACTCATTATTCTGTCTGGATCTAAGGAGCATAGAATCAACTTTAGGCATCTTTCGTATGCTTGGAATCGAATTTCATGAATTTATTCTAACACATAAATCAGGTAAGAGAGAAGTAGATGGATAGATTTTTTTTTTTTAAGGAAATTAGCCTCCCTGGGTACTTACAGTAGATTGAGTATTGAGAGATTTACAAAGATATAATTCTTTGGAAGATTACAGAAGATGGAAACAAAATCAAATCTTTCACTTTCAGGTACTGGAGTTCATTAATTCTTTCACCAAAAGCACATCACTGAAGGAAAATCAGAAGTGGTTTTTTAGTTATTATTAAAGTAGTTCAAGACCCAGGGAACCCCTTGAGATGAAAACAAAACAGTATTCAACTTTTCTTCACAAGACTACCTTGTACTGGCAAGACTTAGAGGACTTCTGGCTTGAAAAATATTGCTTAGAAAACTTAAAAAAAAATCAACAACAACTATATTTTGGACAAAACAATTTTTTTTTAATCTGTCTTGTAAAATCCTTACTTCCTTTTGAGTCTCTGATGGCCACAACATTTCATTTGAGATGTTTGGCAGTCACAGCTTCAGGGGTTATGGTTACTGATTATCTAAACCCCTTAGGTCAGAATGAACAAACACAGTTCATGTAAACCTGGCTGTTATTGGAGTCCTCTGACCAAGAGATAATAGTGAAGAGTGTGGAGAGCCTGAATGCCCATGGTGGAAATGCTGGAAAAATTAAAGGTAAGAAATAAAACATAGCACAGGAGATTCAGAGGGCTGGGATGACTTCTGAGCTGCTCTCTATACCCAAGGCCCTTTCAATTTCTAGCTGTGAAAGATTTTTCATGCACTGTGGTGCCTGATGTTTCCTGCAATTTGACAAAAATAAATACTTTACACAAGAAAAGGATGCAAGGCTTCTACGTTACACTTTGGGGATGCTCAGGAGCCAAGGCTCCTGCTTGGCTTTCATTTCACAGGGCCTGCAGCCTTGTCTCTGGAAGGTGCTGATTAGGACTGGGAATGGCCTCCTCTGGTCGAGACTCTCTGACCCCTAAGTAAATGAACTTGTTCCCATCCCAGTCTCCAAACAGATCCCAACACTACGTTTGTTTTTCTATATCCTGATTGTCACACCTGGAAGACTCTCCTTAGTATACATGAGGCTTACTGCCATGAGACCAAATGACTAGAGAGCATCTTTTAAGAGAAGCTTGCTCATTCAGGAAAAATTAAGGATTTGGTACAAACTGCAGGCCAAAGGGAAGCTGACATATTGTTTTGGTGTGTATTCTTGAAAACGCATCATTAAATCTACAGTCCCTTGTCAGCATGCTGACTTTTACGCTGCCTCAAGGAGTCTTCCACCACCTCTGTGTCAGCTGGGCAGGGTTGCTCAGAGATGCCTTCTTCAGCCTCCTCAGGCTCTACTTCCTCCCGGGTCACACCGTCCTCTCCTGGGGGCCCCTGATCATTGGCCTCACTTCTCTCCTCATCCACACCAGCAGCCAAGTTGTCCTCCTCCTCTTCTTCCTCTGCTTCATCCTCATCGCCAAGATCTTCTTTCTCTTCTTCATCATCTACAAGGCTGTCTTTGTTTTCTTCTTCATTTGAATCATCTTTTTCCTCCTCCGCATCCTGCAACTGTTCAGCTCTATGAGCCTCCTCTGATCTCCGATTCTGCTCTATGGAGGGAAGAAAGAGGAATATCCTCTGAATAAACAATGGTAATTCGGTAATCAATTGAGTGTGTTTAGCTGTGAAATAAAAATAGAGGGTAAGTGACAGTTTTTTCTATCTTGAAACTATGGTCATATAGGACAGATTCTCTGGTTGGCATCCTAGCCCCATTTAGGGCTTCTCCACCTGTCTCTGGAGATTTCATGGACCATAATGACTTCAGCAGGGCATGTGGGCAGCAAGGGCAAAGGGTCCTTTACGCTCGGTATTTTGTGTCTTGTAGAAAGCTCAGTGACCCTATTGGTCATGGTGATTGGTTCAGAAATGTGACATGCTAAGCCACTCAAAGTACTCCACAGAGGTTCTGGGCCAGAGTCAGGAGAAACAGCCTCTTTTTCTTCAGGGATTTTTAAACAGAGAAAATGCGCAAGGACTATCAACAGCTCTTATGAATAAGCCACACAGACAGAGAAACCTAACATCACTTGGGCCGTGCTTGAAGCTAGAATGTCCCTGGGCTTTTCAGTTATGTGAGCTAATAAATTTTCATTTGTTTTCCTAAAATCCTTGATATTGGGTTTCTATTACTTTTAAGAAATCTAAGAATCATATTTTCAAATTATCAATGGAAGTCTCAAAGCCTCAAAAACTTCAAGAACTAAAAAGAAACATGAGCTTATTTAAACTCCCACATAAAATTCAACAATTAGAAAGTCTCATGAACATCTTTATGCAGTCTCAAAAATAGTCTGGAATAAAGACATGCAAATCCAGAGGCACCTGGCCCCAGAAGAAGTGTGGAGCAGTGCAAGGATTTGGGAAGACTGCTTTTAAAGGACTTAGAAGAGTTACTAGCACACAGCAGAAGCAATATATATTGAGTTTCCCTTCTTCCCTTCTAGTTCTAGTTAGAATAAAGGAAAATATGACACTGATTAATGAAGAGCACATACTTAAAAAGAAAAAGCAATTGCCAAAATGAAATATTTCCTAATTTAAGAAAGGGAGAAAAATAATTTTGTTCAAATCTACCTAGAAAACACATTTTAAGAAATTTGGTAGTGATTATTTGGTCACCTAGTAAATCACAGAGAAAACCCACTATCTATATGAGCACAAAAAGGCACATCACAGAATTCCAAAAACACTCTAGATCACAGGAGCTTATCGTACTTACCAGAACGCTCAGATAAATGCCTTGGAAGTGGCACATAGAAACATTCTGATATTACCACCAAGACCTGGAAGGAAAAAAGTGATTTTACAGTGAATAGATAGGACATTTATTACCAAAGGACCTCAAAATTAGGCCTTGCTTCTATAATCAGATATTCTTAGACTAATAATTAGCAGCTAGTCAAAAGTCTTCACAAGAGACAAGGATATAATTAAGAATTTCCTACTTTTCAAATGTGACATAATACAGGAAAATATTAATTTAGAAAGTGGTCACAAAGCCAAAAGTCTACAGAGAACCCACTATAAATAGATGAACCAAGCAGGTATAAGAAGATAGACACTATGAACCAAGTCTTTTTAAATACACTATTCTGGACAACCAAACCACTCTGTATATAGGCTGCCCCTCACCAACGGGTAACCCCTGATTGAATGGAAGAACATTTCACAAATGTTACAGCCAGCTGTGGGTGGGGAAGGATTGAGGATGACTTTGAAGGAGGAGGCATTTAATGCCCTGGGCAGTCAGGAGAGAACAGCAGCACCGCCTGGCTGCTCTAAGCTAAACTAAGTTGGATCTCCATGGGGGTCTTGGATCCAGAGAAAGCCCTGAATGTCAAACTGAGGAGACCCAGGAGGTGGGGCAATGAGTTGCAGGAAGGCTTGGTGGGTTGGAGAACAATAAGCTCTAAGCCATTAAATCAATTTGAACAACAAAGAGAAAAAAAAACATTCCATCTGAAATGATTCAGGTTTGAAAACCTTACCTTTTAATGTGATAGTTATATGCTTACTGGCTATTCTAGGACATAATGTTTCTTTCTGACTTTTCTTTTTTATTTATAATTGACACACAGTAACTATATATACTGATGGGGTACAATGTGATGTTTCAATGCATGTATTACAGTATAATGATCAAATCAGTGTAATTACCATATCCATCATCTTAATTTATCCTACTCTTCTATTCTGGAAAATTGTACACTCAACAATTTTATCTCAGGTTTAGTCTATCTAATTTACTCATTTAATTTTGACTCAGTTGGTGAGATTACAAAAAAAAAAAATTTGGATCCTAGCTTCCCAACAGACATGTCATCCTTCAAGGAGTCTGGGCCATTCAGAGCCAGCCTCAGGCAGCTTTGTCCCCCAGTATTCCTTTACCCTGGCATGCTACGTAAATATTCTCTATGTGGCTAAGACATGAAAACAATTGACAAACACTTTTCTATCATCCTAGAAGTTAACAAAAATGTCATTCTGGAATAGGTGATTTAAATTGGGATAAGAATGCAGCTGTTTCAAATTGTGTAACTCTCACAAAACAGAAGTTGAAAGTACATAAGAAATTAAAGGTTACTAAAAGCAAAAATTCTAGCAGTTGTGTGTTTACTTTAATATACTTAACAGTTATAGAAAAGGCATTCTGTGTGTGTGTGTATATATATGTGTGTGTGTGTATATATATATATATATATATTTTTTTTTTTTTTGAGACAGGGTCTAGCTCTGTCACCCAGGCTGGAGTACAGTGGCAAGATTATGGCTCACAGCAGCCTCGAACTCCTGGGCTCAAGTGATCCTCCCACCTCAGCCTCCCGAGTAGCTGGGACTACAGGTGTGTGCCACCATGCCAGGCTAATTTTTGTATTTTTGTAGAGACAGGGTTTTACCATGTTGCCAAGGCTGGTCTCAAACTCCTGGGCTCAAATGATCCACCTGCCTCAGCCTCCCAGAGTGCCAGGATTACAGGCCTGAGCCACTGTGCCCAGCCTAAAACAGGTACTTTGAACACAGATATGTGTTTGTTATTTTTTGGAAACTTATTAACAGTAAATGTATGAATCTTTTATAATTTATGATTCATATGCTTTGAAATTATTATTTCGTTAATAAAGTTAATAATATTTTGTTAAATAAAGTTATTTTCTTATTAAGGAAGGGTAGTCTATCTCACTTAATCACTTGAACAGGCTAGAATCACTCTCTCCTTTCTTCAGGCCAAGCCTCCAATAACCTTTCTACACTGATTATCTGAATCTAGGTTTCCAAAGGAATCTAAGGCATAGGCAGGCAGGCCTGACTCAATTTCATGGACTTAAAGTCAACATCAAAAATAATATTCTAAAACTCTAAGCATTTTCACTAGTCTTCCAACAGGGTCACACACAACCTACATTCCCTATAACTCCATCATTGACTCGCCTGGGACCTCATACTGTTTCCCCCTACAAGAACCTCACACTATGGTAGCCCCAAAATACACTGCTAGAAAAATCTCGCACCAGACAACAGATGGGAGAAGCACAGACAATCACATTCTATTTATATCCGGTGTCAAATCCCTTTAGACGGGAGCAATGGGGACATGTTAATTAGCAAAAAGATTAATGCAACAGAACAGAACATACCCAGGACCTAATGAAGGACATATACAGATATCTAAGTAAGTCCCATTCTTATCCCTGAAGTTAACATCAGGAGCCAAGTTTCAAAGATAAGCCATGATATGTATTAAGCATGTTCATAGAAAAGTCAAATCGAGCCTCCTTGGCCTCTTGGGGTTGTGACTTACTATAAGTCAATTGTTAACATTTTTAAAAAGAACTTGCTAAAGAGCCAAAATTCATTATAAAATATAAGGACAGACTTTAAGATAATCTTACCTTAAAGTCTGTTCTTTGACATAAATTTTTAGTAATCATCAATTATTCCCATTATAGTGTTTAGGAACTATGTGTTTAGTATACAATATAAAGGTTTTTAAAAACTTTTTGGTTTAATTAGGGTTTAAAATGCAATCAAACTAATCAAGATTAGGTTAAGAGAAATAAAAAATAACAAGAAGTACAACATGCTGAACATTTATAGTTGCCTATGTAGTTAGATAAATAAATTTATTATTCAACTCTTGCCTGAAATACCTGGGGAGAAAATACCTGGGGAGATATATACTGCATACTGATTTTCATGCCCAAAGAATAATTGTGTTGTGTTAACTACATTATCTATCTCAGGAAAACCAGAGTGTATGCATAAGCGGCTAGTCAGGATTAGTTTAACTGGAGGATAAGAACAACAACAACAACAATCTTGCATCTACACAAGGAACAAATTCAAAACCTTGGCCTTATCACTACAGTGTTTCTAATTAAGCAGGCAATGTGTGAAATCACAGCTGACTCAGTTGTCTTAGAAACTATCAATTCTAGTAAGGTCTCTTTTTTTTTTTTTTTTTAATTACTGTCTATAGGCAGTACACATCTTCAAAATACTTAAGGGATAGGATTAGGGGATAAGAATTTAATAAATTTTCTGTTATATCTCACATTACCATTGAAAGCAGTCTCAAACAAGCAAATGCTATTTAACTACTTAGATTGCACAAAATACTATTTTTTATGTGCTTTTTCTTTCTTGGCTGCCTTTTATTTGTACATGAAATTCATTTTGCCTTAAAGATAGAAAAAGTTTGGTATTATCTCTTACCAGACCCATAAAAAGGCCAAAAACCAAGGTGGCTATGACGAAAAAGACATAAGAACACCAAGCAGGAATTCCAAGAGTCACTGTGAAATAGTTGTGAAGATGCTGGAATCAGAAGAAAAAAAATAAAACATTAATTTTTAAGAGAACCAAAAATATTTCAATCTCTCTCTCTAGCTGTTGTTTCTACATACATAGGTTCCCACAAAGCTTTATGTATCTAAATGATTCTTAAAGAACAAGTCAATTTTATAATATTGGGAAACTGAGAGTAGTAATTAAGGTCATTACTAAAAAAAAAGTTATACTTGCTTAGAGTTCATAATCTGGATAGAATTCTGGTAGAATCGTTTTGATAGTCCTTTCTTCCATCATGATGGATGCTTTTGGCCCTCCTCCCCTAATAATTATATACATCTCAATGTTTACTTATAATAGGGCATTCATGAAAAAATTAAACTTTTTGGGCCTCTGACTTTTTAGTAAAACTAAATTACGACTTACAGAACGTCAATCATTTAAAATGTCTCCATACCTCTTTTTCCTAATTAGACTCTCATTGCTCTACACCTATTCATCCTTTCAAAGTTTGGTAAATTACCAGAAAACATAAAATGTAACAGTAGACAGAAGAAAGTTTTTCTGATTAATTTATTATGAGCAAATGAGATTCCAGCAGTCTTTGAATAGAGTGTATATCCCTTCATGCTTACTGTTCCCTAAGACTCTATTTGATGACAAACACTCTAAAAATGAGTGAAGGGACATAATCACAGCTAGAAAGTATTTACATGCTAAATCATAAAGAAATTAACAGATATGAACTTGCTATTTCAAAGTCAAAACCTACTTAGATGTAGAGTTGCAGGAGCCATGCTTCCTCACAATCACTTAGTCATTTGTTCAAGACCCTGACAGCTTCAAAAATGGCCATTAAAATTCAAGTAACTACTGGACACAGGATGATATGGCTCCAAATATCATCAGCAAGAGAGGTAATGACAATGACTTCCCTAGAACCAGTAAGGTTGATGAAAATGAGTCCAAGTTTCTATTTTAATTTCCTATTTCTCAAAATCTAAATCACTCCCATTGGTTTCTTAGTTTATGTCAATGCAATTAAAAAACATATTTTATTCTGGCTTAATTTGGAATGATAAATAAAGAACAAAGCTTGTAAACTGATTTAGCAAAATCTGAAATATCTCTCTACAATTTCTTATTCAGCAGAAGAGATAGAGCTAAAGACGCAGCAAGTAGTTTAAACACTGACACATGGAATCAAAGTGTTCAATCAGTATTTGTTGAATAAGGAAAAGATGCATCAAATGCCTGAGCTATTTATTCATACGAAAGGCAAACACACTCTCAAACTGTAAAGCTGGCATCTGTCCTCTGTTGATGGCACTGGTCATCAGTGTGTGTTTAGCCAGGACAACTGTTTATTAAGAGTAACTTGGCTGGACACGGTGACTCATGCCTGTAATCCCAGCACTTTGGGAGGCCGAGGCGGGCAGATCACGAAGTCAGGAGTTCGAGACCAGCCTGACCAACATGGTGAAACCCTGTTTCTACTAAAAATACAAAAATCAGCTGGGCGTAGTGGCAAGCGCCTATAATCCTAGCTACTCAGGGGATTGAGGCAGGAGAATTGCTTGAACCCCGGAGGCAGAGGGAGTGGGCTGAGATTGCGCCACTGCACTCCAGCCTGGGTGACAGGGCAAGACTCCGTCTCAAGAAAAAAAAAAAAAAAGTAACTTAGCATTTTACAACTCAGCAAGCAAAAGGCGTGTTTGAGATATCAAAACATCATTTCATTCAAACTCTTTTCAAAGAAAGTTTTAAAATTTACTGTATAGTTTCCTACTTTAGAAAATACTGTGTATTAAGCTTATGCTTTTCTCGGAGGACTCAGTATCATCAATATTAAACCCGGAAATGTGCCAAAGAATTAGAAGATGGTCAAAGTCAATCTGCCTCTGTGTCAACCCATGAATGTATTTTAGAACTTGCTTTATAAGTATCTGCTGATTTATCTTACTCATATGGTTAGGAAAAATAATGTGCAGTTTTAAGTCCTTCTATACAGTATCTCATGCCCTTTCTGCAAAATAAATGATTAATGCAACTCTCAAGAAACTTTCTAAATTATTTTTAAATTTCATTAAATCATTTGCTTTTGAAGCATTGCATTCTGACTCAAACACTTAGTACTTTCAAAACATCCTCTTATTTTAATAAGCTGCACTTCAATTTTCTTGTATCAATTTCCTCTTTAACGGAATTTGAGTTTCTTGGAGAAACTCTGCCATCTTCTGGTCTTTTAGGTCATTATTAGTAACTATTCATTAATCAGGTTGTACTTTCACAACTACAGATATAAATATTTATCTGTCTACTTTGTCTGAGTCTACAACAGCTTTAAAGCCCCTTATGAGTGTTAGGATTAGTGGTACCATGTCCTTGAAGTTTTGCTTTATATATGTTTCCAAAGGAATAGCTTATTAAATAAAATCCAATTCAGTTTTAGATCATTGTGTTTCTGTTTCTTTAACTACCAGGCAAAGTGACAGTTTTCACTTGTGGAAAATACTGATCCTTATTCAATATTATATGTGCTTACCACAAGGAAATATCCCATGCTGTTCGCTGAAAATGCACAAAAATGTAAACTGATGGGCATGATACCTTATACTATGGTACTAGATGAATAAGAAAGTATCTTACTCGGGCTGGGCGCGGTGGCTCACACCTGTAATCCCAGCACTTTGGAAGGCCGAGGCGGGTGAATCACGAGGTCAGGAGTTCGAGACCAGCCTGGCCAATATGGTGAAACCCTGTCTCTAACAAAAATACAAAAATTAGTGGGGCTTGGTGGCAGGCGCCTGTAGTCCCAGCTATTTGGGAGACTGGGGCAGGAGAATTGCTTGAACACGGTAGGCGGAGGTTGCAGTGAGCTGAGATCGCCCCACTGCACTCCAGCCTGGGTGACACAGTGAGACTCTGCCTCAAAAAAAAAAAAAATCTTAGTCTGTTCACTGAAAATGCACTAAAATGTCATCTGATGGGTGTGACACCTTATACTATCATAGTACATGATTAAGTTAGAGCTAACTTTTGGCTACATACATATTTGAGTGAGAAGATGAAATTAAAACATCATTACAACAGAATAAATGAGAAGAGCATTCTAATCAGTGGTCAGACAGACTTAAGGAAGACAGCCAAGCCAAGGCCTCCATGCATCTGAGGTAGAGCCTTCCCTCCCCAGAAAGGCAAGCACTCCCTCTGGAAGTCTAAACTACTGCAGGTTGGATTAAATACTACTTAGTCACACCCACTCATCCAGCCCAGTGTTGCAGAGTCTCATTCAAACCTAGACTGGCCCTGAAGGACAGAGAGCCTTTGGATTTAGAGTTCACCTGTGTCATAGGATATACTCTCTGAGGAGTTCTGGAACAAGCCCTTTATCTCTTTCAGACACAGATCAGAATCCCCAAAATATCTTCCCTGCAAGGAAACAGCTAGAAAAGACTCTTCAATGATGGCCAAGGGTTCACCTCTTTCATGCTTTAGCTCTTAGCACTTGTAACAAAACATAACCTTGCAGCCTCTTGTAGGATCTATGAAAGGTACCTTACAGATGTGCACCACTGTCTCACTATAACATTCTACAAAACATTCTAAACATTTTTATACGAAAAAAACATTGAGAAGAGGCATGCTATGTAAATCACAGAAGAATGTTTTCAAGTTTTAAAATACACTTTGTTCTTCTCTAGTCTAAATGTTCATGGCTTTTAATTCTCATCATCAGATATTTTAAATAAAGCCTTAAGTTTTCTGTCACGTCATTCTAATAAAAAGGGAAGGTAGCATCCATCACACAGATTGTCCTCCCAAGGATGTAGCACATCTTATTTTAGCTAAAATCTGCCATATGCCTACATCCTCTCAAAACGACAGTAACATTTAGGAAAGGGAAGTTACATCCTATATTATCAGTGAGCAGCAGAGATTCAACAAATCCAATAAAAAATGCTTTAAATACATTTAAATGCTAAACTTAGTTCGCAAAAGCATATACAGGTTGAGTATCCCTTATTCCAAATGCTTGGGACCAGACAGCCTTCAGATTTCTGATTTTTTCAGATTTTTGCATTACACTTACCAGGTGAACATCACAAATCCAAAAATCGGAAATTCAAAATGCTCCAGTGAGCACTTCCTTTAAGTGTCACGTTGGTGCTCAAACAGTTTCAGATTATGGAGCATTTTGGATTTTGGATTTTTGGATTTGGGGATGCTCAACCTATATGCTGAGCAACTGCCACGGAACCCTATTTTAAGCCTGCTATCAGCATTGGCTAAAAAAATTAACAAAAGTTAAAGTATTCCACGTTGGCTATAAAGAGAAGGAAAAAGTAAAATAATGAAGACAATAATGATTAATACATATAACTAACAAAAAGCAATTATCAAGCACATTAACTAGGTACCAGATTCTGCACTAGGCACTCAAAGGGTTCTAGGAACAAGTCTATGGCTGGAAAAAAAAAAAATAGGATTCAGGGGCCTACACATAAGGTGTGAAACAATGATGTGTTTCTGGAAGAGAAGGATAGTGCCACTCTGTAGCACTGTAGCCAACTGTGAAAAGAGGGAAGACAGAAGACTGGACAGTCTCTCTCCACACATGTGCCACACACAAAACCCAAGAACTTCTAATCCTAACTATGCCACCAGACTTGGCAGTGATGCTTCCTGAAGTTCAATCTTCTGCACATTGCTTTTATGATATTCACCTCACCTTGTACTATCCATTAGAGTATTAACATTTTTCATTTAGTCACTAAGTTGCATACAATTTTAAAGAAATTGGATATTGCTACTATAATATAAAATCAAAATCAATTTTGTCCTTTGAAGATGTCAACTCTCTGAGAAACTCCTCTAACTGTCCCATCTCCTAGGCCTCAGTGACTCCATCTGTGAGATGGGTAAAATGTTGAGACTATTTGTGAGGATAGATATTAACAGCTAATGAGGTAATTACTTCTGTGAGTTTATATAAAAATTAAAATATGCAGGTGAGCGCCATCATGAGTGAATTGGAAAGAAAATTTAAATTTAGTGATGGAAAGAACACTGGAGATCATCTACTCTTGTCCATATTGTGGTATGAATGACATATCGAGGATCCCTGGGATTCAGGGTAACAGCAGGAAGCTGACAGGAACTGCCTCATAAGACTATTCAAGGGACTTTCTCACCTCAACAGTTTACTCAAGCAAGAACATAGGGGAGGTTGGTATGAAGTTAAGAAGGCCAAATGCAAACCAAACCAACTCCTGAGTTGATAGGAATTCGGCCATGTGAGTGTCTCATCACCAGGTGATCCTAGAATCTTGAGGACCAGCTTTTATCTCCAGAATGTGCAACCTAGCAAGTTGGCTTCACTTCTAAGGCAGAAAGAAACCCAAGCCCCTTAAGGAATCACTAATTCAGTAGGCGCTGATCTTCTAGATATATCTCTGATCTTCTAGATATCTTCTAGATAATTACTAGCTCAATAGGCTCTGATCTAAATATATTGTTTTCATTTTTTCATTACAGAAGAAAATAGAAGTTATAGAAAAAACGTTTTTAAAAATCACCCATATCAGAGAAAACTACTGTTGATCTCTAAGCATTTTCCTATATACACACAAAAACGCCATATAAACATCCATTATACTGTTTTGTCATCTTCCCTGCAGATATACTTACATCTAACCAGCTACCCATCCAGGGAAGACTGTTGCTGAGGA
This sequence comes from Homo sapiens, assembly GCF_000001405.40. NCBI lineage: Eukaryota > Metazoa > Chordata > Mammalia > Primates > Hominidae > Homo > Homo sapiens. Next base: position 7,993,095 of record NC_000020.11, read on the forward strand.
AAGACTGATTTCTATCTGTACATGTATCCAGATATTTCAGTAAGATAAAGAGACTATGGATAGGCATAAACAATCTTGTCTCACTGGCATTAGCCATTCTACGTCTTTCCTTCTTCCATCTTTATAATCTTCTTTCTCTGAGACTTTACACTTTTTTGGTTCCACCTTCCATCCCTAGTCTATTTCTGTCTCACCATGTACAGTTGTTTCTTCTGTTCATTATTAATATATTTGCATTGTAGTTTCATATGATCTAGACATGAGTTAAAAAACAAATACGTTTGCCACAATTATACATTCAACATGGATTTGAGGAACTCTGACTAAAGGAAGAGTCAGCTAAATGAGCTAACTGAGCAGGCAGGGCAGTCAGCTGGAAGGACTCGCTGAGTAAGTGGCTCTATAAAGACAGGAAGGCAAGACCATAACTAAAGGTGGGAGTGGGGACCAGAGACCTGATGGGTAGCCAAGGACTGGGTCTCTTTAGGTCAGAGATGGTGTGCCTTATAAATCAGAGGACAAGGGCCACATTCTAGAAACACAGGTGGCAAGAGACCTACCTACAGATCTGATGAAAGGATGGGGACTTATTTCTAAGAATAAATCACAAAAGTTGGCAAGAGGCTTGGGGAGGCTACATGCTGATATGGAGGGCAGTATCAGATTTCACAAATTATTAAGGTAATGCACACACACACACACACACGGAGATCAAAATAACACTGTATCATTTGCGTTCTTTTATGTGCAACTCTCTTCCATTCCCCTACATACACACACCCTACAATCAGGACAAATGTTTTAGTGATCCCAATAAATATAAATGGATTAAATTCATCAGTTAAAAGAATTATATCTTGCTATATACTTTTTATAAGATTTATTTAAAACATAATCAAAAGGTTGAAAATAGAAAAATTACTCCATGCAAATGCTTATAAAAAAGAAAACACATGGTATTAATACTAGATAAAACTATTTTACAATTATACATTTATATAATTGTACATTTTGCATTCTACATTTTACAATTATAAAATGTAATTACTTGTGTGCCAAATTTTAGTTTATCTTATAAAATGATCATTTTTGGTTCCTTTTGGAAATATCTGGAAATTATAAATATACATTTATATAACATATATATTCTACTTCTCAATCATTAAGAAAAACATATTCATTAGTTATTCAGACATGGATCACATTCTGTTCTCCAAACGGCTCTTTCTCTCCAGTTTAATGCATCCACACAGAATACATCTGTGTTGCCCATAGCTGGGCACTGTGTGTACAAAGATAAAACACCCACTCCTGGCCTTGACACACTCTAAATGTTACACATTGTAATCATCTGCATGACATAATGAAAAACTGTAACTCCTTATTTAAACTTGTTTGTCTAAGCTCCAAATTACAAGCTATATGAGGTCAGGGCCATTATGTATCTTCCCTGCTATCGTCTTTGAAAGTAAAACTTCTCTTTTACAGTCAATGAAGGCCATAATCAGCTTCCATCTAAGCTCTTCTTAACCTGCAGAACAAATTCTATTGCACTTATCATAGGTTTGGTGCTAAAATTTCACAGTCAATGCTGCCTGACAACCATCTACTCCAATTTTTCTGTTGAATTAGACAGTATAATGCTACACGGCTCAAACAGCCATCAGGCTACATGATTTTGTCAGTCTTTAATATCAACATACTGCAAAAGGCAGAATCTCTTTTCAATTCCCAGTTTGCAATTCATAATTCTTAGCCCTTGATTAAAGTTCTCACCAATGTTAAGAAAGCAGCAGAAGGAAACCACATGAAATTCAAACTATCTGGAGAGGGGGAAATATTAGTTATTGTTTATTGTGAGACAAATGCCAAAAAAAGTTAAATTTTAACCTGAAAGACTGAAACCAAGTCTTCAATTCGCCTCTGTTGTAAAAAATAAACAACCAAAAAACCTTGTGGTAGGTATTCTATCTCACAAGGCAGAATATAAATGGAACTGAGAAAGTGGAATACAAAAGGTTTTTCTTAAATGTCTTTCAACATATATGAATGTGTATGAGAAACAGAAAAAGAGTCTTCACAAACTCTTTGAATATTATGTTCCAAACATGACACCATAACCTACAATCATAGCATAGAAAAGACATATATAGGGAGACTCGCTTCTAAGACTTTTTGAAATATTTTGAGCTATATTTAATTCCAGAGCCATTTTGTTCAATCTGGTTGGATTTAGTCCTCCCCTACAGAGAAGGGAAATAAAAGGTTATGGGACATACTCAACATTATATAATGGTTCAAAAATTAAACCTGAATAACAGTTCTAACCCACTGAAATGACTCAGAGAAATTATACGATCACATATAGCAGGGGTCTACTACTTAAAGGCCAGATTGTAAATATTACAGGCTTGTGAACCACAATTCTCTGTGTCTGTCACAACTATTCAACTGTACCATTGTAGCATGAAAGCAGTCATAGACAATAGGTAATGAATAAATGTAGCTGTCTTCCAGTAAAATTTTATTTACAAAAACAGGTAGCCCATCCACAGGCTAGAGTTTGTTAATCCCTGACATACAGAACTACTTTCAGTCTTAGACAATCTTTCCTTTGTAGGGAGATATGCCTACAAAGAAATACATAAGATAAAGTAAAATCACATAAGCCGTTTTGCTTGGATGAAAGACTTCACCACTGATTTAAGAAAATAAGACCTCGACACAGTAGTTACAGGTTACTGTTCAGATTATGCCCTTCTACATGACGACATTACCACTGGAAACCCCACATGAGAGTAGTTGCATGGCTTAAGAAAAAAAGTGAAATTATAAATGTACTTATAAATGTTTGTTTTCCTATTGCTTAAAAGCTGTATTTTTATTCTTAACCTCTCTGCAAATATAAACGTTTTATTTAAGATTACTTACCCATATCTTGCCAGAGATGCTAAAAAGACCAGCCATTCCAGACATCCTTAAAAAAAAATAAAGAGAAGAAACAGTGATCATATATACTATAAAAAAAAAATGAAAATCAGGTCAGGAGGACTGGTCTATTTCCCTCCACTTCTTGCTAAATATTGCCCCCTCTCCCAGATTCATATCTGTTCTTACAGAGCTTAGATTCAGTGGCTATCATTTGAATCACTCTGCTGTAAATCTATTCCAACTCCTTGGCCCTTTCTCCTTTCATTGTGCCTACCCGGCAAAAATCTCAACACTGAGCAGCTGAATGTCTCCAGGGAAAAAACATCACATAACCAGATGACAGTTCTTTCTGCTTCATAGTCCCAAACCTAAGTGGACACGTAATACTGTCCAGCACTTTCTAAGCTCTAAGAAAATAGCTCATTTCCTTTTCCTTCTCTTCAAAACGTACACATCTTCCCATCCCCATGTACTCAGCTAACAAGCACTCCTCATATGTCACTGTGAAATCAGAAGCCACCATGTGCTTTCTCTCATCTTCCCACTACCAAATCTGAGCCTGGTGTCCACCTGCATCCACCTTCTCTTGTTATGACAGGAAAAGTCTAACTCTCTTATCACAGTCCAATTCCTCCACTTGTGCCTTGGATCCTATCCATTTTGTCTTATTAGGACTTGGTTCTTTCTCTCATCCTCCCTTCCTGCACGAGCAACTTCTCTCTCTCTCCTAGAACAGTCTCACTGGCATATGAACATGCTCTACTCTCTTTTACCCTTTAAAAAGAGTATCCCTGGACCTCACATGACCCTCCAGCTTCACAGATAAATTTCTCCAGATTACTCTACACATGCTGTTTCTTCTCTACTGTACCTTTAATCGATTAAAATCTGGCTTCCACCCTCACCACTACAGGAACAGATTGTCAAGGCCATGATGACCTCACCATGTTTCATTCAATGTCCATGTCTCAGACCTGATCTCCCTTCGCCTCTTAGTAACATGGGATACAAGAGACTACGCCCTTCTTCTTGAACACTCATTTGGCTTCTGGAAAATGGCAGACCTTGGTTTTCATGTTGCCTCTCTGGTACTCATTTTCAGTTTCCTTTGGCTGACTTCTCAACACAGTTTCTTAATTTGGGGGTGGCCCATGACTCATCCCCAAGTACTCTTCTCTTTTTCCTTCTTTCTAGGTGTTCCCCTCACCTCAACATTGTCTGTAGGTTTTTTTGTGTTCCTGAATTCTTCATGGGGACCCATTTCCATGCATCTGATATGCTTTGAATCTGTATCCCCACCCAAATCGTATGTTCAATTTGTGAGATATGATAAGGTTTCCCTTCAAATAGCCTAATCAATCTTTTAATTCAGAGTTAACCACCCCCTCTTTTTTTCCTTTTTCCTTTCTGCCTTTGTTAAATGCGCAGGCATGCCACAATACCAGCCATTATCAGTACCAACTCACATTCCTTTCCTTATTTAAAAAAAAAAAAACAACTTTCTGACTCACTACAGACACCCTTTCCCCTTTCCTCTTTCTTCTATGTGCCCACCTTATCTAAAAAAATTCAAATGTTTAGCCAACTAAAATTAGTTTATACACCTGACCCCAGCCAATAAAAAAAGGATACAGGGGCAAGACTTGCGTCAAAAATAAAGGCTCTCGTACTCCTTTGTTCAAGTGTGCTCTCATGGCGACTGGCCAAAAAGGCACCTCTCTGCGCAAAAATAAAATTGCTTTGCTAAATATCCTTTGTTCAAGTGTTCAATTTCTTAAAATTGTAAGCATTATTCCTAACAAATTGTAATCCCTAATGCTGGAGGTGGGGTCTGGTGGAAAGAGAGTGGATCATGGGGGCGGATTCTCATGAATAGTTTAGCACCATCCACTTGGTGCTATTCTCTTGATAATGAGTGATCTCTCAGGAGATTTGGTTGTTTAACAGTGTGTGGCACCTCCATCCTTCTCTCTTGCTCCTACTCTGGCCATGTGATGTTATGTGCTTCCCCTTCGCCTTCCACCATGATTATAAGTTTCCTGAAGCCTCCCCAGAAGCCAAGCAGATGCCAGCATCATCCTTCCTGTACAGCCTGTAGAACCATGAGCCAATTAAACATCTTTTCTTTATAAATTACCCAGTCTCAAGTATTCCTTTATAGCAATGCAAGAATGGACTAATACAGCATCCACTGTGACAGTTCTACAAAGTCTGCATCTCAAACCCAACAAGATTTATACAGAATCCTTAATTTTCTCTTGCCCAAGGCAATAACAAGTACCAAGATCCATCATGTACTCAAACCAGAAACTTGTAAGTTTTTATTAATGAATCCTTCTTCTCCTTCACCTTGGCCAAGCCTACCTTCATAACATATTTAAAATCCACTCAGCCTCTCCATCCCCACATCCCCACTGCTGCCACCTGACACAAGCTACCACTCTAAGCCTCAACTCACTTCATCCATTCTTGCCCTCTCCAATCTCCTCTCCTAAGGGTCACCTTCTCCTTGTGTGTGCTGATCACTTCCAACTTCTTTCCTGTGGCCACAGGCCCTGCATGACCTGGCTTCAGCCTGCCCCTCTTACTCAGCTCATCCTACATTCCCTTTCACTATGCTTGACCCTGGTCACCATTCTGCTCCTTAAGTACACCAAGCTCCTTTCCAAACTGGGGCTTATGCATATGCCATACCCATTCCTGGGAATAATCTTCCCTCTGCTCTTTGCCTAAGCTAGTTCCTTCTATCATTCAGATCTCACCTAGAGGCGTCCCTTCAGAGAAATGTCTCCTACTCCCTCCATCTAGAAGAGCAGGTCCATAACCCCAGAGCTATCCCATCTTTGTAAAATATGTTGTTGTGTTTTTTATCCACCCTCATCCCAACTATGATTCTCTGTACCTGAGGTGAATGTCTGTCTTGTTCAGTGTTGAATACCTAGCACCTAGGAAAGTATCTGGCTAAATCAGTGCTCAAATGGTTGTAGAATGAAATGTGAGAGTTGTTTTTAGAGTAAGCTATGTGTTTCCTTAATATTAATATAGATGCCACTAGATGATTTACTCCTGAAATATTGCTTGATTTGCTCCTTTTTCAGTAGGGAAATTTCTTACACTTGTATATACTAACATAAAATTATCTATATATATGACAATCCATTCAAAACTAAAACCAACTGTGGAAAAAGCTGTTATGGTTTGGCCTAATCTACCTCACCAAGTATTATACAGTTTGCCGTCAAGGCCAAAGCTATCCCCTGTGGTATTTTGCGAGGCAGCCAAAGACTCCACAGGTTTTGTTTTCCACATAATATATAATAGCAATTCCTTCATAAACTATAATTCAATAAACAGTTATTCCTCTGTCTCATCAATAACTTAAAAGGAAGAAAGAATGGTAAATGATGTTCAATACCATATTTTGTAAAGAGAAAAATAGTCATTGTGGCTTAGTGTAAAAGCTGGAAAAGAGGCGTTCTGTAACCCACTCAAATCTGGCTACTTAATTCCCAGTATACTAAAAACCAGCTGAAACATATGTAGGTCACAAAATCAGAAATACTGCATGGGCTAAGCATGGCCATGAGTAATCTGGGTAATTGGAAGTAAATGTGAAGTAAAACATAGGCTTTTTTGAGACCCACAGGCTATTAACTTAAAACCTCCTGTTTTATTAGTAACACCTTGTCTTAAAAAATTGAGTTACGTTAGAGAAGCCGGGGATTTCCAGCCAGTCAGAGGCTCGACTGATTGCCATTTCTTCTCTAAGATATAATTCTGCAGGTCTTCGAAGATTCCTGGGCCACGATAACGGCGGAATATCCCATCCTTTGCACTATAAATTATGAAAACAAGTAGAAAGCAAATGCATTAAAATAACGATGTTACAGATAATAAAAATTAAAATAGCTACTGGTGATACATCTGAACGCCATCTGAACTTTAAATTGACTCAATTGAAAAATATACATAGAGATAAATCAGAAAGAGTTAATAAGCTTTACTATAAGTGAGAAATTCAAACCTAAAAGCGTTAACATTCTATGTTATCACCGTACAAAGTGTGACTAAAAGCAGAGTTCTTGGCAGTGTTTAATATGCCAAGTTACTTTTTATTATTTTTGCTACCAATTACTTTTTCTCTTACAATAGCAAAACAGCCATTGTTATCAAGTTTAAAACATTGTATCCACATTTTCAAATTTATGTCGTTCAAGGCCCTCTCCTCAAACATCAACAAAAAACGTCATACCCCCCTTCAACCTGGCCTCCCTCTCACCTACTTGCAGCAATCAGGGCCCCCAGGGAAGAGTCTAGGCTTGCTGTTTTCTCCTCTTTATGTCTCATTCACTACTTGGTGCAACTGGGGGTTCTGCTCCCAGGACTCCCTTGAAACCACTCATACTGGGGGTCTCCAATGACCCCTAAGTGCCGTATCCATTTCTGTTTCCTTCACCTGTTACTGGCATTGTTCATTCACTGCTGAATACCACTTCTTTCTTCCTTGTGCTTGGCTTTTATGACAGGAGCTCTCTGGACTTCTTCCTACTGCTCTGAGCATTACTTCTCCATTTCCTTCACTCACTGTCTTCCTTGCAGATGTCCTAATGTTGGCCAATCCCAGGTTCCATCCTTGACCTGCTTCCCTTCCCCACCATACATGTTCTCTCTAGATATATTTCAACTTTTACCTCAATGCTGAGGAATTCTCAATATGTATCTCCAGTCTAGATCTTTCTTCTGAACTCTGGATCCTGACATCAAACTGTACCTAGACTTCTCCATTTGGAACTGGGAAGGGCAAGTCACACTTATCTTTTGCATTTTTGTCTCTATCTTCCAAACCTCCTCTTATTTTAATGGCTCCTAATCATGAAGGCAGGCAATAGCTTTTACTAGTTAGTTACACATGGCCTGTTGGTAGTCATCATAGACTCTTCCTTCCCACAGCTAATCAGTCACCAAGTCCCACTGATCCTACCTCCTAAGTATCTCTGGAATTCACTACTTTCTTTATCTTTCCCCTGCCTGTACCTGAGTCTCTCTGGCCTCATCACTCAGCATGATCCAGCTATACCTGTGGTCCAGCCATAAAGAACTAGTTCAAAGTTCTCAAAAGGTAGCTCATTCTCTCTTGGGCTTTTTTATGCTATCTCCTTTAACTGGAAAGACTTTCTCTACCTTGTTGGCTTAATGCATTCCTACTTAGATATTAAGAATTACCCCACCTCTGATATCACCAGAGAAATCTCTGACTTCTCCTGCCCACCTACGCCTGACATTAGGACCTCTGTCTCTGCAGCACTCCAGGAAAGCTTCTCTTGTCACAGCTCTCACTCAGAGCACACCAGCCTTGTTTCCCTCACATGTTAAGCTGAATGAGTGGCAGTCATGGAAGACAACTTAGAATTCCTGGTACACATCTATTGATTTCTAATATTTGCAAGATTAGAAGATTATTTAAACTTACTGAAAAAATGCTGGGAGAGTGGTGACAAAGAAGCGGCCACTCAAACCTACAAGAAGCATAAACAGAACAAAAGTTACACTTAAGTCCTCCAAAAAAAGCATTCTTGAGCTTACTTTCATAATCACATTATTAAAATCACTGCAATTGTTGACTCACATTTACTATTTTTTTTGACTTACAGAAATTTCATTTCTACCTATTTTTATTACCTAACACTTTCTAGTAACTGACATACAACTTGCATCACTTGGATTGTAAGGAGGCTGAAAGGATAGGATTTAGAGTCATGCAAACTGGGGTTTTGCAAAGTTAAATACCGACTTACCCATTTATTAACTTTATAACTTTAGATTATTTAACCTTTCTTAGTCTCAGTCACCTTTTTTCTATAAAATGGGTATATAAAAGCCTAACTTAATGGTTCTAAAGTTAGATTAGGGCAAGTGTTATTAGGCTTAGCATGGTGCTGGGTACATAGTGAAGGACTCAACAAACTATAGGTATGATTACATCAGTTATCAGTTTAAAAAGAATAAGTAATATGAAATGATTAAGATCATGTATAATGTTTGTACATTTATAAAATCTGTAAGTACCGTAAAGGGAATATATGTATGTGAAAAATATTTTTTCCAATTTGTTTTAGCAAACCTTTACTGAACACTAAGTACATATCAAATGCTATGTTATGTGCATGTAAAGACAAAGATAAATAAAACCCTTAGTACCTCAACAAATATTTACCAAGCACCTTCTTTGTTCCAGAGACTGTGGTTACCACTCAAGACACATGGATGAATAAAAACATGTACAACCTTTATTCTCACAGAGCTTATAGTCTAGTAGCAGAAGGAAATAACTTATTCAAATAATCACAATCACAACCACAAACAGAGAATGAAAATATTTAAAAAAAGGGTAGGTATGCAAAAAAATGCTGAATGAGACTAGGAGTAAAGAACAGATCCTTGCCCTTTAAATGTTACAAATAAATAATATTTGCATGGGCACCAAGAATAAGTAAAGAGAATGAAAGCTTAAGGATCCTCCTGGCCAACATGGAAAAATGACAGAGGCATCATTTTAACATTTTCCATCACAGCTGCCTTTCCCACTGTAGAACAATGTGGACAAAATCAAATATCCATTCAAATTAAGTTGCTCAAATCACACATCCCTGTGGTAACTTGCAATTCAAAACACTGAAGCTTTACTTTTAATAACATGGAAAATTTACTTTCACCCATTTTATAAATTAAATCCATATTCAACATAATTTAGTAACAAATGATGCGTCTTCTCAAAGAATTCTGTATTTTATTTCATTTCAGACCAAGTGGATTCCAAAACATCTCAATTGTATTTAAAAGGAAACACAATGCTCTGGATTAGTAAAAGTCAAAGTCACAAAAAGAAACATTTACTACAAAAATTTGTCATTGTACATTGGAAAAAAAAGTTTTGTCACCAGTAACATAAACACGAGTGACCCAAAAATAGGTCAACTGAGGATTGTAACAAGCACTTCTAAGCGCATTTTCATCTCTCACATTGCTCAGGATTTCACCCTGGAGGGAACAAGGGTATCCTACAGTATACTTCCAATTCTAACTTGCCAGGGGAAAAAGTACTGTTATTCCTAAATACTTAAAAAACTAGTATATGCCTTTGGTTTAAGATAATTATTATGAACAGCTTCATACATTACTTCTTACCTAGCTATAGTTCCTTATGACCAGCCAAAAATTTTATCTAAAGACAGTTACGGTATTAAGAATGTATATTTCATTTGTATGTTTTTTTAAAATGGAATGAAGAAATTAAATAGTATCTCATCACCTCTTAAAGTTTTTTACTTAGATTTTATTTTTATCAGAATAAAGAGACAAGATTTCTATTAAATGTTAGGTATCACTTAAAGTGATTTTTTAACTTGCTCTTTTGTATGTTCTTAGTCATCACTGGCTATGACAATAAATAAAGAAGTAAATAAATAAGTAGAAAAATATTTCATAAAACACATTTAATTATACAATATATAAAACATTTCCAGATTCAGGAGGCTTTAGTCTTAAGTCTTTTAGAAATTGCACCTCATTTCAGAAAACATAAATTATCTTTACAAATAAATGTACTCATGAAAATCAGTGAGTACCAAGAAAAAGTATCAAAGTCACAGATGGTCTCTGAGGTTTTTCTGCATCTTTCTGGTTCTGGCTAAAAGGAATAACAGGAGAGTTCTTCCCAAAATTGCTAGATTAAAGGGTATAATAACTTTATGTCTCTTGATATGAATTGCTATGTTGTTTCACTGACTACTGTACCAATTTACAAGGCCATCAATTAAGGTTTATTAAAATAAAGACCAATAAATCATATCACCTCAAGATTACTTTCATTTATGTTTGTCAATATTTCTTCAAATGACAGCCTATGTGGAATATTAACAATGAGGTTGCAGCACCCAACTCAGACACGAGTTCAGTTTGCTGTCTGGAATAATATTCTGTCATATAATGATATATTCAGTAAAATCAACAACAACAAGATCCAGAACAGTCGAAGTCTTCCTTGGATGATGACACGCTACTAAATCCCTGTAGATCCAACACCATAAGAAATTCATCTCAAAAAAAAAAAAAAGTAACTTCTGGGAGGCTAAAAGACATCCGAAAACTCTGGGTCTCATCTCAGTACTCCAAAAATGTCTTCTAACCTTTAACACTGATTCTATGACGTGTCCAGGAAAATTTTCATTACCTGAAAATTAAAACATGACCACTTGGAATACAGAAGCACCATCTGAGGTTGTGGCTTCAGGGTTTAATAACATTAAGTTAAATGTGGATCTTGACAAAGAATTTGAACATCATAATAGCAGCTTGTCTCAGGATAATAGTTCAGTGCAATAACTTCAGTAAGCTTGGAAGAAACAAGTATACTCCTAAGCTTTTCAGTAAAAAGGATAAAGTTAGGCCACAAAGCCTTCCAAAATTTCTACATGCCTTTTTTACTTTAAGGGTAACTTCCACTTTAAAATGAAGACTGTGACACAACATAAAGTAGGCACAAACAGAGAATGCAGGACAGATTTTAACACTGTATCAGAAACCTTATCTTAAACACATGCAGCAAAAGAAAGAAAAATTAAAAGCTTAGAGAAAGAAAAAAATTATGGAAGAGAATTACATTTTGATAAGCCAAAACACAACAGAAATTATTTAGGTTCAGTATTAAGAAAACAGAGATAGCTAATAGCTATCTATTAGCCATTGTTGTACTATTTATTAGCATGTTATCTTTGTCATGTTACTAAACCTATCCTAGCCTCAGTTTTCTGAGTAAGACAGAGATAAACAGTTTGTTCTTCACAGGGTTGTTATGAAGCTAAAATGCATGTAAGTGTATAGCACAATCACAGGCTGAAGTAAATGCTTACTAAATGTTGTTATTATCAACAAAGAGGGTAGCAGAAGGAAAACACAATGAAAAAAAGGAGAATTAACCTTACTTTTGAGATTGAAATAAGGTTGTCAACATAATAGAAAACAAGATAAAATTTACATTTATAAAATTTAAAATATAACACTAAAGTACAGTAAACTAAATTGGCTTCTGCATTAATCAGTAGTTTTAAAGACAATGCTTACACTTGGCTGTGGCAGGAGACTGGCTTACCTCTAATCTAGTGAAATAGCCATCACTCAAGGGTGATGAGCAGCTGCTGTTTTCCTGACCTTGACAACTAAGCTCATCTGCATGGAACAGAAGGTTCAAGTATATACTCATTAAATTTAATTTCCCAAAGTCAACTCAACTGACACATCACCTGATCTACGCAGTATTAAACAGGCAATGTAATGTAACCTAATCTAAGGGCTGCCCTTTCCTCGGCTTCTACATCTCAGCCATAAAAATGCAACATGATTATAGTCTCTAGTTTTGATGACATTGGAGATGGGCAGGGAAGTGCTGGGAGGGGAAAGATGGGCCCCTGGAGAGGGCTCCACCCTCGGGGCTGTGCCCATGGACCTAGGCGAGGACAGGCATTTCTGTTTTTGTGCCCAAATGTTGCATTTCCCAAGACCACCCTGGCCTGCCATGCTCCCATCCTGTGCATATATAAACCCTGAGTCTCTAGCAGGCACACAAACAAGCAGCTGGGAGTCAAGAGGAAGACATCGGCAGAAGAACACACAGCGGCTGGACATCGAGAGGACATTGAGAGGAGCACACCAGCAGAAGAACACACCAGCAGACACTGGCAAGTCGACCCGCAGAACAACGGAAAGTTTGGCCAGGGTAGTTGGAGGACAGCCCAGCCGCTGGGTGGCCCAACTCCAGGGGAAAACCACCACCTTCCCACTCCATCCCCGTTCTGGCCTCCCCATCCACCTCGCTGAGAGCTACTTCCACTCAATAAAACCTTGCACTCATTCTCCAAGCCCACATGTGATCCGATTCTTCTGGTACACCAAGGCAAGAAGCCCTCTGTCCCTGTGATAAGGCAGGGGGGTGTCTAATTGAGCTGACGAACACAAGCCACCTATGGATGGCTAAACTGAAAGAGCACACGGTAACACACGCCCACTGGGGCTTCAGCTGTAAACATTCACCCCTTTATGCTGCCGTGGGATCGGAGCCCCACAGCCTGCCCGTCTGCATGTCCCCCTAGAGGTTTGAGCAGCGGGCACAAAGAAGCAAGCCACACCCCCAACGCACACCCTGTGAGGGAAGAAGGGAACTTTTCTCGTTTCATTGATAAATCTGAAATCTTACCTTGCTTAAAATACTTAAAAGAATATCTTAATAGATCTACTGATGGAAGAGTTATAAGAATAACTAAAGAGTATGCATGACACTTCAAAATTATTGTTTCCCCTCTTTAAATTTTACTTACAGGGAAAGAATTGAAATTATTCCTTACTAGCACTTCTGTGGCAAGGCAAGAATACACTAACGAAGATCTGCAACCAAATAGAAATTTGTATACAGAAATACACAGTAAAGTGCTCAACTGTGGGGAAAAATAATATCATTTCAATGAGTTTTTACTATTCATTCAAGACGTTAGTGTTTGTAAAAAGTAAATAAATAAACTGCTTCCAAGATAGAGGCAAACTGCCCTGGAGGCTTGCCAGTGAGTTAGTATCACATTAAGACAATCTTTCTACACTTGGCTACCAGACCCTCCTACTTCTCCCTCTCTATCTCACTAACTTCTCATAGGAGAAGTTCCTTCTCCTATGATGGAACTTCTTCTTCTTTTTTTTTTTTTTTGAGACAAAGTTATGTTCTTGTTGCCCAGCCTGGAGTGCAATAGCGCTATCTCGGCTCACTGCAACCTCTGCCTCCCGGGTTCAAGCGATTCTCCATTCTCCTGCCTCAGCCTCCCAAGTAGCTGGAATTATAGGCACCTGCCACCACACCCAGCTAATTTTTTGTATTTTTAGTAGAGAAAAGGTTTCACCACATTGGCCAGGCTGGTCTTGAACTCCTGACCTAAGTTGATCCGCTCGCCTCGGCCTCCCAGAGTGCTGGGATTACAGGCGTGAGCCACTGCACCTGGCTGCAACTTCTTTTTTTCTAAATGTTGCAGTGGCCTGTTCTCACGACTCTGGCACATACAGATCATAGATAATCTGAATTTTTCTTCTAGCTCCAATGCCAAGTATATTGATGGTCCTCAAACTTACATCTCTAGTTCATCTCTATTTGGATATCTATTTAACATCCCAAACTTAGCCCCTGTCCCAAACCTACTTCTCCTCAGTCTTCTCCATTTTCTCCTTTTCCACCCCATCTGGCAACCAATCCATCAGAAAATCCTAGTATCTCAAGAATCCCACCACTTAACACTGCTGTTACTAGTCCAAGCCACCATCTTCTCAACTCTGGACTACTGATTTACCTCCTAACCATTCTCCCTGCTTTCTTCTGATCCCCTGTAGTCAATTTTTTCACATAGCTGCCAAAGGAATTATTTTAAAATATAAATCATATCATATCTCTCTCCTGCTCCAATCTTCCAGTAGCTCCCTATCATACTTTGTAGAAAATCTAAACTCCTTGTCATGGCCAACAAGACCTCACAGGGTGTGGTCCCTAGCTACTTCTCCATCCCCATTTATCTCAAGTACTCCACTGGTGGTCCTATTGTTCTCCAAATAAGCCAAGTACACTCCTACCTGCACATGGTGTTTGCTCTGCCTGGAATGCTCCTCCCACAAAGGTTTTTGAAATTTACTTCCTCAATTTATCAAGACCTCTGGCTAAACAGGTCTTGATAAATTGAAACCTATTTATCTCTGGTCCTTCCCTGGCCATCCTAACTTAAGAGGTAGCTCCAATCATTTTGTACATTTTTATCCTACGTTTTCTTCATATCCCTTACCACCATCTGACATTATTTGCCAATTTTCTTTTGTTACTATTTATCTCCTCCACTAGAATGCAGCTCCATGAGGAGCAAGGCCTCTGTCCTCCTTATTCACCTTTGTATCACTGGTATCTAGAACAGGGCCTGTTTATGGTAGAAACTCAAATACTTGTTGAATAAACACGTTACTTCTAATCGCTATTAAAAGATTAACTGAAAGCATTAAATTTGTAATTCAAAGTAAAATTATAAATTTAAAACAGTATAATATGAAATGAAATATTTTCTATGTCTCTCAAATAATCATGCATGTAGAAGTTTATCTCCTAATTTTTATTTATGAGTTGCACTTTTAAAATTTTTATCATTTAAAATAATTCTAGAGCCTCTGCCTATAAAAAATTGTTCAAACACATAAAATAATAATCTTTTATTAGACTTTGTTTTTTCAATATTCCTACAGAATACCAGAAGTTTTTCCTTCTTCTTTTAATATTTCAAGTATATATATTTCAGATATACATAAAACCAAGTCAACATTGAATGTATTAAAAATATTTCTTAAAATCAATTTCTCTCTTATTTCATTATCAAGAAAACCTAATCAATTCATAATGTTAAAAATAACTGTAAGTCTACATTTTTAGAAGGAAAGACTATATTTAATTAAACATAAGATTTGTGAACCCATCACAAGGCTGTTTAATTCTTTTAATTCAAATTATGCTATAAATTCTGAGCAGGTGTGCCAAATTACTGAAATGCAAATTGACCAGCTGCATTTTTAAGAAACCCATCATAAAATGTGCATGGTGCCCAGTAATTAACAAGTCTTATGCCTGAATTTAGTTTACTTAAACTCTAAAGATGAAAACAAGTTTCTGGCAAAAATGCATCTGCAATGATTTAGCCTCCAAACAGAATTAACTTATTATAACAGCCAAAACCATGAACTAATAGCTTTTATTGTCCATCTCTAGATGGAGGACAATGCTTACAAAGATAGAGGAATGAGGATTCATGGCTTTTAATAGAAATCTCGCTCCACGGGTTTGCTGACACATCAATTTTAACATGTACCATCTATTCTGTTATCCAAGTAACTGGTACTTCATTATTTAAGTGTTTTTTGAACTCACAGTTTATTATAGAAAATGAATGTCTACACTTCTATACCCATCTTCTTTTTGCCCTTGTAAAAGGATGAAAGGATGCAGTAGGTATAAATTGAATGTCAATGAAAAAGATGACTGTTAAAATTTGAAAATAGCCACATTTTAGAGATTTAGATTATAAAAGGCCATCTTTTCTTCTCAGTTTATATATAATATACAGTTGTTTTAAAACTACAAACACAAATTTATTGTATATATCTTTTCAGAATTTAAAAGTCTCTGTATCACTCCACTCTTTGGGGTAAAAATGATTCATTCTTGTGAAAACTTATATCATTCACAGCTAATCAGTGTAGACAGAATGACAGAACTAGAAATTCACTCTCTGGAACCACAGTGAAATATAATATCTGATTCAGGCAAGAGCATCATGGATCTTAAAACCCCAAAAAATCATCCCAGAGGTTACTTGCTAATCACAATGTGAGATCCTTTCTTCATAATTGAGATACTTAGTGTCACCACCATATCCAAGTGCTCAAAATTAGCATTACTAATGGTGATAGCATATCCCTTCTAATGAGATGTAATATGAAGTCACAGCATCATCTTAGAAGTACTCTTGCCATAAATGTCTAAGCTAAATCATGCACCTAAACTCTCAGTTTGCAGAAAATACTCGTATAAGTTAATATTCCTATAAGTTCCATGTCACCATAAGGAAACACCTAGGAAAACTGTAGCTTTTTCTTTTCAGAATATCAATGTCATTTTAAAAAATGAGGGATAATTGTTGATTGCAAGAGACTAAAAAGACTTAACAACCAAATGTAATTTATGAACCATGATTGGATCCTCAGTCAAAAAACTGTAAAAAAAAAAAAAAAAAAAAAGACACATGGGAAATAATTAAGAAGCCTTTAACGTGCTAAAGAATTGAAGGGTAAATTATCATGATGTCGATAACTTACTTTCAAATGATTCAGCAAAATAAAAATAGAAAAAATAGAAATATATATGCAAATATGTATGTGCAAACACATACACGTAAAGACAGATCCAAGTATGCAAAAAATGTAATCTGCTACTTAAAGGTGGCCAGTTCATGGGTAATCAATATCCCAGACTCTCAACTTTTCTATATGCTTGAAAAAAATTCAAAATAAAAAGTCGGTAAACTTTTGCATTTTATGTGCAACATTCACAGTACCTGGTTCTTGAATGACATCTACCTTCCCCACACTGATCTGAAGTATTTCACCATTCTTTGCAAAAGCCTCCCATTCTGAATCAGTCTGCTGGCAGGATGGACACCATGGGGCGTAACTATAAGAGAAGAATAAGAATTATATTGATAAATATACAGAAGAAATCTGCAAAACAGAGAAATCGAGTATTTAAATTAAAAAATAAATTATTAAAAAAGGGAAATTATAAAAGGAGGCTTTTCCAAAGTCATTTGACATAGAAAAACAGAAGCACATTGTCCCCACTAGGATTTAATGTATGAATGTCAATTCTATAGGAAAAAATTTGGCCAAAGTTTGAGAATATTTCCAATAATTATTATTATCCATAAACATTTTATTTCAATGCTATTCATACAATTATGTTTCTCTCCAGATAGCTTTTGATCTTTGAGGGTAAGAGCTCTTTTTAGTGCCCCACTAAAGGAGAACAATTTTCACAGGGTGACCCTAAACTAGCCAAACCAGTTTCAAATCCATCAAAGCTACAGATCTGATGGGCAGAGACCAAATCTGTTGTTTGAGCATCCTCAAGAATGTTTCCAAGATCTGTGGTAATTCTGAACATTCTGAAAAGGAAAGTAGAAGCTATAGGCTAAACCCGCTCTACCCAACACTTTCTTAAATTTAGCAGAATTTAAAAATACCTTGGCTTTCAAGTCAGAACCCTACTTTTTACAGTTATTTTTCATTCAATAAATACTAAGAAAGCATTATGGCAGAAGCTGAGGCTACAATTGTGAAGGAGATTTGGTGCCTCCTCTCCTTGTGGACGGTACAATCCAGAAATGAACAGAGATAAGCATGGGGGGCAAACATCATATTATTCTTATTTTTGCGTCTGTTTAAAATTTTTCATAATAAAGTCTTGAATAAATAGAGAAATATACCAACTTGTGGGTAAGCAGGCTGAGCATTTTTAAAATGCCAATTCCCTCCAATTTATTTTTCATTTGTTCCATTCCTGAATTGTTTTTACAAAATGTGGCACCTATTATTTCTGTATTAAGGGAGGAAAGGGGCCAGGGGAGAGAAAGAGAAGTAGAAAAGAATGCCTGCCAATAGAATATAACACTCACACACACAAAATGCCTTAGGAAGGGAAACAAAGTAAGGGGAAAAGTACAAAACTGATCAAATCCTGTAACAAGATTTAGGCTCAAAGTTGCCTGTCAGGTCATCATTTACAAATCCCTTCAAAATTCTGAACTGTGCAAAAGCATGCTGGTAAGTATCATTAAAAAAAAAAATCAATGCAATGACACATATAAACCAACTTTGCTGAATAACAAAACAAAAAACAAAAACTGAAATTGGGCAAGATTTTGATCTTTCGCATTATAAAAGATGAGTCAGGGGTTAAAAAGCGAAGACTAGGGGAAGGAATGCATTTATTTCACAAAAAGTACTGAAAATTAGGCAGAACCCAGAAGAGAATGGACTACCCAAAGCCAAAGCATTCATTACTTTCTCCAGACAGGCCCCAGAAGCAGCAAGACTTAGCAAGCACAGTTGTTCACCATCTCTAGAAAAGACTACTATATAGCTAATTCCAAGATCATGCTAAAACATCATTAATCTTTCCATTACAGCTCACTGTCCAAATCCTGAGATCCAGAAGACAGGAACAACAAAATAATCTGCTGACATCTTTGAATGTAGATTTTTTTAAACCTTCGTGTCTCTGTATTTCCAAGGCAAAGTACATTCTTGATATACAGTAGGTGTTCAATAAATGTTTGCTGAATAAACAAGTGTATCAACTTTAATGAAAATCATATTCTTCATCTGAGAAAATAAGTTATTTTCTATGTAGTTTCTAAATATCCAAGTTAACAGATGAGACTCAGGCAGTTGGCAAACTTTAGGAAAAAAAGGAATTCTGAATTATCAAGTACATTTCAACAAGCGTTCCATGATGTTGGATAAGAGTTCTGCTATAACAATCAGAAAGATCAACCAGGAATTAATCATGATATTCTGGGCAGGTTAATAATCTCTCCATGCCTCAGTTTCCTCAACTGTAAAATGGGATAATAACAGTAGCTACCTTAGGTTACTGAGAGATCAGATGAAATACGAAGCAGGCACATATTTATTTAATAGGAGCAACCATTAATACAAATTTCATTTGTAATACTGCTTGGGGTTCAAGACACTTTTACGATGCATTAGCTCATCTGACCTTACAGCCTCACTGCCAAACAGACAAAGCAGGTATAGAGATGTGCTTAAGACCACTCAGAGCAAGAACACAGATGGAGGTATTTCTTTGATAAAAATCGTCAAGGAATATAAAACTTCAACATTCAGAGGGAGAAAGAAGTTATAAGAAAGTAACAAGAATAAGGAAGTTATCTTGAAGTATAATATAATATAATGAACTTCAGATCCTCTTTATTTCCCTAGGACGCTCTTTGCATATAAATCACAGGCACATTTGCTGCATCAGTAATTATGTTTCATAATTTAAAAAATACAGGACTTAATCTCTAGATAGGCTATTACTAAGTTGGTTTTTGGTGAAACTGACCTTCAGATATACAATTATAATGCATCCTCGGATATGCCACTGAGGTAATTTTAGATATGCCATTTCTACATAGCTGCTATACACTGGTCTGTGGCATTGTTAATGCCATTATTTCACAGATTTAATCACAGCTGATTTGTGTTGGAATGCACCCAGATGTTCTTTCAGTGGTAGAGATAAGCCAGCTCTGAGTCTTTAGCATGGGAACTGGTCCATTGTTGCTGCAGTTTTTAAAGTTTTTAATATTCTTTTGTATCTAAAGAACAGTAATTTGTATAAGAATTTAGAAACTAAGTAAAATATCTCCAGGGACAAAATGAATGCAAGGATCAGTCATGTGACCTTCATGCTCCTCTCTCACTCTGTGTACACATAGATACATATATATATAATTTATGTATATATGCATAAATTAAACACATCAGAAATAATTGAACATGATCTTCATTAAATTTATTTCAAACTAGTTCACACTGGCAATCTTCTCCTAAGAACTATAAAAGATATGACCTGCCATAACTTTGTCTCTTACACATAATCCTTAAGAGCCTCCAAGAGCAATTAGCTCCATTATAGTCATTTAAACTGTAAATTGTTATCTTTTCTACTGAACTTTTGTTGACTTGTTTGCAGGTCACAGTGGTATGTAAAATTAGTAAACTTCATAAACATATTTGAAATATATTCCAGATAGCCAAAAAGCTCTGGTAAATTACACCAACTTACATGTCAGTGCAATGTTTTTAACCATTTCTGGGAAACAAAATTCAACAGCATGTTTTTGTTGTCCACGTTTTTTGTTCAACAGAATGTTTTTGTTGTCCATGTTGTCCGTGTTTTGTTGATGGAACGAGGTTGAAGGACCTTGAATCTTTTATTCCATGAACTTACTGAATTTGGTTTAAGATTTCATTAGGTGTGCTAAATATTTCAGAGAAGGACTTACTTATATTTATTTCCTAGAAAGGAAATTTTATTAACGATAAATTTTTATTTACCAATAATGAACAACTCTTCTTCTGTCTTGACTCTAATTTCACCAGTGTTTCTCAGTACACTCTCTTTTCTCCTGACTTTTTCTTATCTTTGCAGAAATGAGACAGTCAATAACAGATCCAGTCAATTTTCACTTAGTAGAACTTTGATCAAAATGCTCAGAATACTCAGCAACAATGAAGAGGAAAGAGGTATACTAGGTTCATCTTTCTATGACTTAATAAAGGAAACTAAATCAAAGTGTCAACAAAAGATGCCTTAACTACATCAAGTGTTATTCTTCCTTTTGGCAAATGTGGAATGACCCATGAATTGAAAGCCTTATGCTCAAATTTATTTCTTTGGACAATAATTTCTAGAACGTGTTATCACAAAAGGTAGAGGAAACATAAAAACTGGCAGCTCTATGAAAATCATGACACCTGCTAGAGAAAGTGGAATTCATGACTTTCACTAGAATTAACACTCCACGAAAGCAGTGACTGCTGCATGACTTGCACCACAGAACAGAACCTGGAAGGTCCTAGGCCACCACAATAAATATTCCATCAGTGAACAAATGGGAGATGATAGTAATTATCCTTAAGACTTCAGAAAATATATAAAGATGTCTCCTTCAGTGATATGCTTGAAGAAGTGCCTGATAAAAGAGCAATTAATCTATTATTCACTCATTTACCTAGTCACAAAGTATTTTTTGAACACAAACTACTTGTTAGTTATTAAAGCTTTGGAGATAAACAGGGAAGGAAAAAAATAACCTTGTTCCTTTACTTAAAAGCTTATAATAGAGGTAGTCAAAGAAAGACCTAGTACAAAAGCATATCAATAAATGTGTAATTACTGGTTGTGATAGGACCATGCAAGACACAACCAAAGCATAGTGAGAAAGAATTTTCCTGGGGCATTGCGATGATGGGAAGGCAGGGCACCTGTTTAAGTGGTGAACAGTGTCAGGAATGAGTATACAGTAAAAATGTTCTTTACTTGCAGAAACTAGAGAGATGGTAAAAGCTTGGATGGGCCTTAGAATCCAGCACGAACAAGGCCTACCCTCATGTGAGTCAGGGTGCTGGCTAGCTGAGGGCCAAAGCAAGAGTCAACCAGGCCCTGTGCCTTCCTCCAGGCTCCCCAGGAGAACTGGGAACTGCAGATCAGAAACTGCAAAGCTCAGGCCTGCATTATAGTTATGGCCTTGCTCCCCACTTACTAAGGATCTGGCATTAGCCAGCTTCTTTTTTTCTTTTTTTTTTTTTTATCTCCACTAGTCAGTAAGAATGGGAATAATACCGCACTAGATTGCTGGAATGATCAAATAAAACAGTTAGTTGGAACATGTGATGTAAGCCATGTAACTATGAACTGTGATTGTGATGATGAGGAAGTGGAGGAGGTGGATGGAAGTGGTAAGGATGACAAGTTTTAATGAGGCTTTAAACCCTTTGTGGAAACCATCTAAAATCAAACATTCGCATGTTTTTAAATACCCATAACAGTATCTAGAGCAGTGGTTTTCAATTAGAAGCATTTGGAAGTATGCACAGGGAATGGGAGTTACAATTTTTTGATGTCGCATGACTGAGACTACTACTAGAATATAATGGGCAAGTATGCCAAAGGTTCTGCAACACGTGGGCCATTCCCACACACCAAAGAACTGTCCACCCAAAATGCCAATAGTGTCCTGTTGGGAAGCACTGATGAATGTCCAACACAGAGGAAGCATTCATTAAACATTTACTAAATAAATGAACATAACTTATACTACATATTTCCTTCAGAGCACAATCTCTTGGAAGGCTCATTCTTCTTCACCTTCCCAGCTCCCCAACACTGAACCTGACACACAAGCATTTAGTGAGTTGTCTCTCAAACATTCCATCAAGACATCAAGACAATCTATTAAACTGCAAGAAATTCTAACTTGACATGGGCAAGTTAAGGTAATGATGTTCAACACATTCTCTCCAGGTATAAAGGAAGGCTGGAAAGATAATACTAAAACCTAGATGTCCTATGGAAATAAACAAAGCTTTGCTCCATCACCAGGTGTTTAATTTAAATTTTGAAACATGATCATTCCAAAAACAAAAATAAGAAAAGGCAATAATTTATAAAGATTTATATGCTTTACAGAGGTAAACTAACCCAAAGACATACTTTTCTTCTGAGTATCAGCTTGAATGTCAAAATTAAGCCACTTGGCTATCTATTTCTTCTGGGGGAAAAAGCCACCAGAATGTATCATATTACATACTTCCATGTTTCAAAAGAACAAAAGTCATTTTCTCCAGGACTGACATAATGAGAGCCAAGCAAATGTTGAAAGTAGCAAAAGGTTGCAAAGGAACTGAATGAAGAATAGTATAAAACAATGGCAATAGAGAAAAGCATGCATCATACAGTAGTTTAAAGATTAGATCATTTTTCCTAATTCAGAAAAAGGGCAAACGAGTATACAATAAGCCCATAGCCGGGTGCCTGTATTCCCAGCTACTTGGGAGGCTGAGGCAGGAGAATTGCTTGAGCCCGGGAGGCAGAGGGTACACTGAGCTGAAATCGCACCACTGCGCTCCAGCCTGGGCGACAAAGTGAGACTCCATCTAAAAAATAATAATAACAACAATAAGCCCATAGCATTAAAGAAAATGTATGTAGCAATGGGAGAACTTTTCAGATTTCTAAAATCATCAGAATAGAAACGGTGAATTACTGCAAATATACTTTTAACTCATACATTTTTAAAACACTGGAAATTCAATTGCAAGAATCCAAAAAATTGACTGTTTGAAAGACTAAGAAAAAATAACCAAATTTAATTTCATAATAGAAGCTTTTCATGTCTCAGGGCTGCCAAATACTGCTAGATTCTTAAGAATAAATTATCTATACCAATATAACCAGAAACTGCATTAGAGGGGATCTGTATGACGTGGCGTATAAAAGAAAAAATTCCCAGATGAAAGAGCGCATATAAGCAAATGAACAAATAAAGAACTCTCATTCAAAGTAATGAATACATTTTGATATCGGAAAGCTTCTCAATCTGTGTCTTTAAAGAAGTTAACTACAACAAAAGCTTCTCAATCTGTTTCTTTAAAGAAGTTAACTACAACATCTTTGAACTACTAACAATTTCCATTTATGTATGACCAGCTCATCTGAACTAAGTGTCAAGATGAAGCTAATTTTAATGCATTTTGTTTTTCTCTGTTATATACATAAAAAAAAAAATCTGGTAACGTATAGGCTATTTAAATGAATTCTTAGAAATTCATAGCAGGCCTCTAGTGGTATGGAGGATATAATGAATTTTATATTTTTTTAAGTACTGGAGTTTTTTTCACAGCAAGGAGGAGGAGTATCACCTGATAATACAGAAAAAAATAGATCACAAATAGATAAGAACCAAAATATTTCTTCAGGATGAGCACTTGGGTTTTAGTGCGTATAAAGAAGTTGGATGGAATGGTTTGGATCAATTTTCATTGACAGCCTTGCTTCCTAGCCACCTATTCTGAAGTGCACTCGATAAAAAGAGAATGTCTACTAAAATGACCTTGTGTCTACACAGCTTACTTCCAGATTACAAGACTCATCTGGCATCACAGGCCAAGCATATTCCATACAACTGGACACATGACAAACTCAGAGCAATTGATTACTATGTTTAGGTTTATACATTCATAAAAAAGTAAAATTTGAACCATCAACATGGCCAAGCACAGATGTTGTTGGCTCTCCCTCAAAAACTTATTGAGGCTTTAGTGTTCTTAATTCTATTACCAAAAAAAAAGCAATTCCAAAAGGAACCATAGAGGAGTTGAAGTCATTAAAAATGAGGAGGCCTTTCTGTTTTAACTTTTCTTACATACATATGCAAACTCAGTTTTACCCTGAAAGATGACATCTAGGAAAAAGTCCATTTTGTAAGCACCTACTGAAAAGAGAACTTTCTGTAGTATTGGCTGACAAAATGCAGTTTATCCCAAACTCTTAAAATTATTACAAACATGGAAGTCTTAACACAGCTCCACTTATTTTAAAAGTTTCTCAAATAGAATATGACCCCCTCACCTTCTTCCAAAAATAGTTAAGTGGAATATTTTAATAATTCATGTCTACAGTTCCCTTTAATAATTTCATTGATTTATTATGATACCAAGGGTATTTCATTTGGAGGTCTAAAATATCCCCTTCTTTGTGACTAAGAGGTAAATGCACATTTGAAGGGGTGATATGCCTTATGTTCTTCGAGCAATGTAATCTGCTGTGTGACATAAATTTTGGCTCTGATCTCACACTGAGGTTTTCACTCCATAGGCACCTGCTTGCAATTTAAATTGAAAGAATCAAAACTTGGTCTTGGATAAAGGAAAGATCCAATTTTCTGTCTGTGTCCTCAACGTAAAACAAAGATTCAATAGTAGTATACAGATTGCCAGAAACCACAGGCTAAAGAGATGTGGCAATTTCCTGAAAGATTTTATGTTTGGGGGGTGGGGGCGGGAGGGGGGCAGGTAGGGTGGAAAGGAGTTGTGGGAGGGGAGAGAGAGACAGAGAGAGAGAGAGAGAGAGAGGAGGGAGAGAGAGAGAGAGAGAGGAGAGAGAGGAGAGAGAGAGAGAGGGAGGGAGGGAGGGAGAGAGAGAGAGAGAGAAGAGAGAGAGGAGAGAGAGAGAGAGGGGGAGGGAGGGAGGGAGGGAGGGAGGGAGGGGGAGAGAGAGAGAGAGAGAGAGAGAGAGAGAGAGAGAGAGAGAGAGAGTCTGCAAGCCCACCATGATGGTCTCTCAAGCCCGCTCAGACATCTGCCCACCATCCACTGCAAGCCTCTTTCAAATGGTCACTTCCTATTATAAGGTTAAACTATAATCAACAAATCCCTTTCTTTCTCCTAACTCAAAACTGTAGTTTCCCATCTCCTTAAAGAAAAGGCACTATCCACCATTTGCTTTCTATTGTTAAAAGGGGCAATGCGTATCTTCTTTTCTTTATGGCACAATTATTAATATTACTCAGAAAGTCCTACCTTTACAAGTTATAATAAGTATCAACATTTATTTGAAATCATACTGTAAAATTTAAAAGGCATCCATATTTATGTTTTATTCTCACAATGACATCTCCAGGTCTTCAAACGGAAGACTACGACACAAATGGCCTGCCTTCACCGTGCTGCAATTTCTTCAACAGGTAACTTGCTTAGCCTGTGCTACGTATTCATACTGCACGTGGATGTCACTGAATGTCCTTTCTCTTCCAATACATATCTGTATCTAAAAGCACACGGTTTGCTTGCAGATTTTCTTCCTTCCCTTCTCCTCCCTATGGGAAGCTGCCCACTCCACCCCGAAAACACTGTCCCCCAAAGCAAGGGGACGCGCTGCACCCTCGGCTGTCACCGCGAGGGCTCGGCGCGCATGCGCGGCGCGAGCGGCCGGGCCCCACAGCCGCAGGTCGTTGGTAAGGCGGGTCCGCGGACCCCAGGTCGAGCCCAGCGGCAGTGCAGGATCGCAAGCGGCCCGGCACCGGCGCCGCAGGTTGTTGGCAAGCCTGGTCCGGGGTTTTAGGTTGAGCCCAAGCGGCAATGCGGGATCGCCACCGGGCCGCGCGGGCTTGGGAGGGTGACGCCCGCGAGGACACTGCGGCGTCCGGGGCGGGCGGGCACACTCACAATTTCAGCATCCACTCGCCCTCCATCACCAGCGTCCAGTTGGAGGCGGTCATGGGCTGGACCCGGCTCTGCTCCGGCGGCAGCGCGGCCTCCTCGGGGCCTGCCGTCGCCGCCACAGCCGCGATCCAGGCGGCCAGGAGCGCCGTTAGCTGCGGGCCGCAGCGCCCACCCGCCATGTTGGGCGCCGAGCGAGGCTTCTCGGCGGGGAGTGTGGGGAAGGGCAGCGGCCGGCCCGCAGCCTCGCTCGCCCGCCGGGTTTTTCAAGGAAGCGGGAGACGCAAGGGCCACCCCGCCTACGCCTAGCGGCGCAGACTGGCGGTGCTCGCAATGCCGCGGAGGACGCCACCTCTTATCGCCGCTTGCCCGTCGAGGCCACGCCCCCTCCCGCCTCCACTTGCCGTTGCCCGGGGTGTCGGTTACCTCAGCAACCACCGCCCTTTCTTCCTGACCGCCAAGCTGACAATAAACAGATGACCCAACGTTGCCTAAGTTAGAACATGCACCGCTGCTGCCCAGGCTCCAATAAGGGCAGGGTTGGCGCGTGTGGGCTTCTCTAAAGGGAAACATGGCCAGTAATTTTAAAATCCATCCCCTCTTCAATGATAGCAAATATAAAAGCAACGGGCTGCAAGGTACACGTATGTTTAATGAAAAATGGAGGGACGTGGTGAGTATCTCCTGCTGAAGAGAGAGGAAAATTTAAGTACTCTGCATGTGTATATTGAAGCATCACTAATTTAGGATATTGATGAAACTAGCCTATGCAATTGCATTTTTTTTACAAAAAATGTTAATTTCATAGAAACTCTTAAAAACATGGGTACTAGCCGATAAAATGAGTCAATTAAGACTATTGCCACCTGCAGTAAAATGGACCTCACATTTCTCTTGACTACAGTTTTGTCAGATCTAAAATGAGGGTAGCCTTAAGTGATTTCCAAATTTCTTTCCAGGTCACATTAGATGAATCTGTACCTTGGGACCACCACACCGTTAATATATAAGACTGGATTACAATTAAAGGATGAGGAAGCTTTCTCAAAGGGTGCTTTGTATGTGTTTACTAGTTGTGCAAACCATGAACCTCGGTAATGTGGTTAATAGACCATGAAAAGGATGTGGTTTCTGCCCTCGGCTTAAAACAAAGACAGCAATAAGACTAAAAGTACTTCAGGGCACATGAGAGCAAATTTCAATCAATACTTATAGGAGAGGGAAGTTAATTTTGCCTGAAGAGAAGATCTGGCCTGCATTATGCATTAATTAGTATTAGCTAAAAACTATGTGGACCTAGCCCTTATCATTAAAATAAAACACTCAAGGGTTTACAAACTATTGAAATTTAAGAAAATGTCTTTGCAATGAATGCTACTAAGACTCACTGTTATTAAGTACATACATATCAATTCCATAAACTCAATGGAAAACATTTTACTGTGCTTGTAAAAAGAAGTGACTCATAAACAGGAATTCTGTCATTTTATCACTTTCATGATAGAATGATGTGTAGAATTTGTTTTACAATGCTCCAGAAATAAAATGTAGGGAATGGAAAGAAGATAGGTGAAAGAAAAGTGGTGCAACATCAGTCAGTGTTGAAGCTAAGTTCATTTTGCTACTTTACCTACTCATGCATATGTTGGAAAATTTACAAAATGAAAAGCTAAAAGGAGAGAGAGCATCTTCAGCATGAAAGACAGCCATTACCAAAGCATTTCCTATCTTTAACAAAAACTGAAGTCTTAGCCTTCAGACTAAGGATGGTAGGAAGAAAGTAGCAAGGAAGTATGGGACTGACCTTGCCGTAAGGAGTCACAGACCAGGGTAAGGGACCTGTTGCTGTCAGACCATGATTGGCATCTTAGCCCTGACACTTCCTAGCCATGTGATTTGGGGCTAAAACTAGTCCACACCAAAGTTCTCTTAAAATGCGGGTAGTAATAGAACCTGCTCCAAAAGGTGGCTGTGAAGATTATATGAGATAAGAATAATGCCTAGCACATATTCTAACTCAAAAAGCTTACATATTAGGTTGGTGCAAACATAATTGTGGTTTTTGCCACAATATTGCCAACACTAATATTATTATTTGGAGGCAACAATACGCTGTAATGTCTATTTTTCTTATACTAAAGTTAACTTCACTTAGCATGATACACAATGCCTCTCACAGCCCAGCTTCAGTTTTGCCCACTTTACATTCCACTATTCCCAGAGTTCCCTGTGTCCTAGTAACACAAAGCTACTCCCCATTCCCAAAGCACATTGTGTACTTCAGTGTCTCCTTGCTCCTTCATTCTGATTAGAACACTCTTCTCCAGTTGTCCAGTGAATCATTCAGTCTCTGTCATGTAGTCCACACTGTACCTCTGATAGCTCATGCAGAATGAGCTGCTGTCTCTTCTCAGATCCAATTGCTCTTCTGTATAACTGATATGGTTTGGCTCTGTGTCCCCATCCAAATCACATTTTGTAGCTCCCCTAATTCCCACGTGTTGTGGGAGGGACCCCATGGGAGATAATTGAATCATGGGGGCGGGTCTTTCCCATGTTGTTCTCGTGATAGTGAATAAGTCTCATGAGATCTGATGGTTTTAAAAATGGTAATTTCCCTGCACAAGCTGTCTCTCTTTTGGCCTGCTGCCATCCGCGTAAGACATGACTTACTCCTCCGTGCCTTCCACCATGATTGTGAGGCTTCCCCAGCCATGAGGAACTGTGAGTTGAATAAACACTTTTTCCTGTATAAATTACCCCGTCTCGGGTATGTCTTTATCAGCAGCGTGAAAATGGACTAATACAATAACTTCACCACATACCTTTCATAGTATAATGCATTTATATGTAGCTATCACCCTCTACCCTCACTCCTCCAACCACTACTAAAAACTCTTCAAGGTCAAGGGCTTTACCTTATATATCTTTGTGTCCCCTGTATTGCAGAATACCCATCCCATAGATGTACTTGGGATAGACAGCTTCTGGCACTCCTCCCAAGATCTCTCCCTCCTGGTATTCAGGCCCTTGTGTGATCCTTTCCTCTTGAGTGTGGGTTGGGCCTGGTGACCCACTTCTAACAGAAGATGGGAAAACTGATGGATTATCACTTCTTTGTTAAGGTTACAAAAACCTGAGACTTCCATTTTGCTGGAAACTTCTTTTCCTCTTGCACACTCACTCTGCGACTCTGTGTGGAGAGCTCCATGTGACAAGGGAGGTCTGCAGCCTAAGCAACTGAGACCTCAGCCCAACAGCCCTCAAAGAACTGGATCTTCAAACAACCACATGAGTGACCTAGAAGCAAATCTGTCACCAGTGCTCTTGAGACGGGTGAGCCTTATAAATGACCCAGAACCAGGGGGCAAAGCTTAGCTTAGCTGGGACCTCCACCCACGGAAACTGTGAGGTAATCAATGTTGTTACATAATATCAAGCCACTAAGATTTGGGGCAATTTGTTATGCTGTAATGCTATGCTAGGTCAGTGTGTGATCCATGTTTATGTTTAAAACGTGGATTTACAGGTTTAAGAAGATTGGTACCTGGTACTAGGAGAAAAGGCTTTTTCCCCCAGAGTGATGGTGGCACTGCAGGGCAGCTATGATTACACAAAAATATGTGGTTCCTAGTAGGCAAAGGAATTCCTAGGCCTCTGATGAGGTAACATCATTAGCAGGAGAGAGGGGAAGAAGAGTGTGGTAGATCCTATCTAGTCCCCCTCTCTTTCCCTGCCCCACAGAGGAGGATGCTCCTACACCCCTCAGAAGTTAGTCATATTTATATGAATTGGCCAATGGGCTACAAATGGAAGGGGTGGGTATGTATCATTTCCAGGCTGAAGTATTTAATCACCGGCACAAAATGTCCCAGTGTTCTGTTCTCCTGCTGTGGAAATTTTAGAGAAAAGATCATGATCTAAGAGTCTACAAGACCAGAGCAGCCTGAATTGCTGAGCTGCCTGGTGGAGAATAGCAGCATTGGGTGGTTCCCAGGATTCTTAAAAGGACTTTACAAAGGTAAGAAATACGTTTTCACTATGAGAGATTATTCAGGTTAACTATTTCTGCCTAATCAACCATCCCAAAACTCACCTCTCATGGTTTTGGGGGTTCAAGAGCTCAGCTGGGCTATATTTGCTTGTACTCTTTTATATGGTGGCAGACCCCTGGAGGCCGAGGCCAGAATTAGTTGAAGTCCCTTGCACCCACATCTGGCACTTAGTGTAGGCTGGCTGGAACAGCTGGGGACTGCACAGGCATTGCTCTTATCCACGCAGTCTCTCCATGTGGCTGGCTTCGGCTTCCTTCAGCATGGCAGTTTGAGGGCTGTCATACTTAATTTCTCTAGAGCAAGAGTTCCCAGAAGGTGGAAACTGCATTGCTCTAGAAGTCTAAGAGTGTCGTTTCTACCTCATTCTATTAGTCAAGGCACTGAAGACACACCAGACTGAAGGGGAGAGGAATTAGACTATCCTTTAATAAGAAGCAGCAAAATAAATTGCAGCCATACTATCAAAAAGCCACTCTGAAAATTTGGAATTGTCACTGAAGCATAGTCTAGCCTATTTTGACTAACTCACTGCCTTCCTTTGAATACTTATTTATGAACAGCTGAGAGTTCTTTATTTTGGAGGGGAGGTGATATTTTCAGAGAGCAGAGTAAGAACTGCCTCTCCGTTTTTACCTTCTGTGAGTAGGTCCTGTAAGATGCATCTTATGCAAAGGTATTGGAGAAAATGATTTTCAAGCCTGTGGGCGGGTAGATGGATTGATGCCTTGGTATTTAAGTGTTCATTAAATGTTACAGAATTTTTGTTAAGCTTATTGAAAAAAAGATTCAAAAGTGTATGTTGAGAATTATGTAAACACACCTATTTTACCCTTGAATAATGGAGTAGGAAAACGATTTACCAAGAGGGATAAAACTTATATTCTAATGGTAGAAAATTTTAATACATAGCTATAGACAATGCCTTTGATAAAAGTAGGTCAGGACTTGATATTAAGAGGATAATCAATGAAAGATAAGGAGATGGTATTCAGATTACAAACTCTGTAATAATAGGGTATAGTTATACAATGGTTTTCCTAACGAAGATGGTAAAACCAGTATGGAAATATTAAATAAGTTAAGCAATGCTGTAAAATTAGTCCATAAAGTAATAATAGTACAAAAATTTAATTACACAAACAGATTTGCTAAATGCCTTACAGGAACAAGAGGTAGAATGGAGAATTTAAATAGGACACAGTAATATTTCCTAGAACAGATGGTAGAAGAAACCATGAATGATGAAAATACACTGAATTGCACCCAGGCTTGTGCCTAGAGACAAATCCAGAAGACTTGATAAGCCTCTAAGAAGCAACCCCAGGACAATGTCATGGTGCAAGAAAATCATCTAATTATTTTCAGAACTAATAAATGAGCTGAGGAAAAGAGCAGTTACATGCAAGAGAAACATACAAGTCAATTATTTTCCTGTACACTGCTTAGAATTAATTTTAAAATGTAATGTAGACAAAGATCTCATTCAATAGCAAAAAAAAACCCTTATGTTTCAAAAAACTAATAGAAATATAAAAGACATAGAAAAAACTGCAGGACCTTATATGACAATTATCATAAATTAATCTATAAATCTATAAATCTAATGCAATACCATTGCAAATCTCACCAAGTTCTCTTCTATAGAATTCTAAAGATCTACCTTAAAAATAATGCTTAAAACCAGCCAACAGGATTTTGAAAACGAATAATGATGTAGGTCTTGGCCCTCTTAGATATTAAAATCTGCTATAAAGTTACAATTGAAGAGGGAGGTATTGACATGAGAAGAAGCAAATAAATGAATGGTTCAGAATGAAGACTCAAAAAACAAAACCATACGCTTACGGGTATTTAGATAGGTTAAAGGTGGTATATTAGTCAGGATAAGATAGACTTAGGCAGCAGTAAAAAAACAACCCCTAAAATCTCAGAGGCTTAACTCAAAAAGCTAAGTTCTCTTTTGTGCAAAATTGACTTTGGGACGAAGAGGTTCTGTAGGGAAACTATAACTTGGGGAGGGTCTACACAATACACATTGCTTAAATCTTGTATCTCTGCTGTCGCAACATGAAACTTTTTCCATGATCACAGAAATATAAAAGGCGGCAAGAAGCTTTTTCTTTCTTATCCACAAGTAACACCTAGCAATCCAGCTCATAGGCCATTGGCCAGAACTAATCATAAGACCTCGCCTAAAAGAAAGAAAAGATGGTCTAACATGGGAACTAAATATTGATGAACATAATAATGTTCACACATGACATTTCAAACCAGTGGGAGAAATTCGACTAATATACAATAGTGTTAGAACAATTTCCTCTTCATTAAGAAAAAAAGTATATCTCTACCTCAATCTATATCCAAAATAAGTTCTAGATCCACTAATGAAAGAGCACAAAATTTAAACTGCTCTTGGAAAAGTGTTTGGAAAATAATTATATAATCATCTAGTGGGCAAAGCCTTCCTACGTAACATATGAAACACAGAAGCTATAAAAGGGCTTTAGGAAATTTGCCACACAATTAAAAAAACATCAAGCAAAGTCAAACCAGGTGAAATGATCTGAACTATAGATAGCACTCAAAGGTTTAGTGTCACTGAAATTCAAAAAGTTCTACAAATAATTAAGAAAAAGATATTCAAACCAGCTGAAAAATATGGAATATTACTTATAGAAGAACAAAAAACAAATGACATATGTATATGAAAAGCAGTTCATACATACTGCTGATCAGAAATATACATTTTATACCAATACAGTTTGTTGGATGATTCCTTTTGGGGTTAAAGCAATTGTGATTAGGACTAGCCATGCTGTTATTGTAAAATCTTCAGTGGACTCAAATCACAACAGCTTACGTTTTGTAATTATTTCCCCCTTTCATTTTTTTTTTTATTATACTTTCTGATTACATGATATTGGGAGACTGGCATGTGTCAATTTTAAGGTAAGAGTAAATGGAAATGAAATATTGGTATAATATTCTATACCAATTGTGTGCCTCAAATTGTACATTAAGGAAACAAGAAAAACAACTTCAGTGTATGAAAAATTTGCCTCAATAATGTTTTCTGCTCTCTAATAATCACCAGTCCCTAGATGTCATTTTGATTAATACAATTTCTTAAAGTTTTTAATGTATTTACCTACACTTTTCTTTTTGTTAGTACCTTTTGTGACCTATTTAATAATTTTTTTTTCCTTAATGTAAGGCTACAAAGCTACTTTTCCTATATTATCCCTAAAAGTTTTCCAATTGTGCCTTTATTTTTTCAGGCCTTTTCACTCTTTAACTTTTTAATACTGTGAAGTAGGAGTTTAATTTAATCTTTTCTCAAATGGGTCCCCAGTTGTACCAGAAACACTTAGTGAACTGTAGTAACTTTCCCTAGTAATCTACCACTCTGTCGTAGTCTGTTGGTACATATGTAATTCAATTTCTGAGTTGTCTGTTTTGTTTCGTTGAACTATTTGTCTTTCCTGTACTAACACAATACTGTTTTAATTAGTATATTTCATGGCACATTTTGATATCTGATAGATAAAATTGTACTCCTTTGTCTGTCTTCTTTATTAGTTCCTTGGGTGTTCTTTTCTATTTTTTCATATACATTTTAGAATTATTTCATTTTAGCTAATCCTAAAATCAAACAAACAAAAATTGCTTATTAGTTTTATTGGGGTTACATTGGTTATATAAATTCAGGTAGAGTACTCCTTTTAATACACCTTAACGTCCTTCATTAAAGTTTTATATTTTCTCTATATAGATTATACAATTATTTGTCATATTAACTACTAATTATTCAACTTTTAATTCTATTTTAAATGGTCTTTTTATCATTTTTTTCAAACTGTATTTCTGGTACATAAAAATACAAATGTTTTTGTATATGTATATAAGTTTTGTAAACACCAATCTTGCTAAACTCTTACTAATTTTTAAAAAATTGTCTGAAGCTTTGTGGCCAGAAGAGTTCTAAGATGATCCCTAAGATTTCTGCTCTCTGGTGGGCACTCCCTTTGCGTGTGGGCAGGGCCTGTGAGTATGATGGGATGTCACTCCATGAATAGGTTTAGCTGTGTGGCAAAGAAGAAAGGATTTTGCAGATGTGATTAAGGTCTCTAATTAGCTGACTTTGAGCTAATCAACACGGGCTTATTCTGGACAGGCCTGGCCTAATCACTTAAGAGCTCTTAAGGAGTGAATGGGCTCTTCCTGAAAAAAGAGCTTCTGCTAACCCTGAAAAGCAAGCAACAACCCTGTGAACTGCTATGGAGAGAGATGGCCTCTAACAGCTGAGGACCTCAGTCCTACAACCACAAGAAACTGATTTCTGCCAACAACATGAATGAACTTGGAAAAGGCCCCTGAGCTCCAGATGAGAACACCCAGGTCAACTCAGGTCATGAGCAGAGAACCCTGTTATATTCTCCTTGGCTTGTGATCCATAAACAATGAGATTATAAATGTGTGGTTTTTAAGCCATTAGGTTTGTGGTAACTTGTTACACAAGCCTCTTTTAGATTCTTTACATACACAAATATATTCTAAACGAATAATGAGTCTTCCTTTCCCATCTTTATACCATTTACTTCTTATTCTTCCCTTACCGCTTTAAGACCTCTAGTATAAAGTTGACTAGAAAAGGTGGTAGTGGCATTATTGTGTAGTTCTTTATATCAAAGGGAAGATTTTCAATGTTTTCATGTTAAGTATGACATTTACTGTAGGTTTTTCATAGATGCTCTTTAATCAGTTTAAGCAATTCTTGTCTATCCCTAGAATTATTGTCAGGAATAAATGTTGACTTTTATCGAACACTGTTTCTGCACCTTTTAAAAATATCATATTTTTTCCTTCAAATGGTTACTGTGTTGAATTATATTAGCAGACATTCTAATGTTAAAGTAACCTATCATTCCAGAGAAAAGGAGGTGAGAATAGCAGTTTAGTTATGATGCTGTATCCCTTTTATAAATTCTTGGATGCAATTTGCCAATATTTGGTCTAAGATTTTTGCATTATGTTAATGACTGGAAATGAGTCTTAATTTTCCTTTATTTTTCTGGCTTCTTTGTGTTTCGATATCAAGAATATGCAAGTCTCATGCAATAAATTCTATGGAAGAGTTGGTTAAGATTGCATTTTTTTCCTTACATGTCTTATAGAAATGAGTGGTAAAATATCTGAAAATGGAGGACTACTGAAGAATTGGATATGGTTTCTTCAGGTTGTAAAGAAAAATATGTTAAGTATGCTAACACTTAGAAACACTCAAATATAGCAAGCTAAAATTGTTTAATCAATTAACCACTTTTGTGGAAACATATCTGCAGAAATGGAATGAGACTATAAATTAGTGTTTCCTGAACATATTTCACTATCAAACACTTCTTCAATTTCAGTTTGTAAAATAAAGTGTATTTTGTTTATTTAAAACTTTCTTCTTTCATTCAAAGATCCAAGACAAAGAATGTGTTTAGTCTAGCGTTTTATAAACATGAAATCCTGAATATGACAAATGCATGCTGAATTTCAATATTTAATCGGCATACATCAGTTTGTTAATAAATGTTCCTTATGTATTAAAGCTCAGATTTTGCATTTATGATGCATGAAGAATTATAAATCATGTGGTTTCATCCCGTTGCAAGAATACAATGCCACACTCAAAAGTAATCTCAAAATACTTGTATTTCTCAAGTCTTTTGAAAGGGACACTTAAGCCACATAGTGCTTCTTAAAATAAATAAATAAATAAATAAAATAAAATTCTATTTCTTTTCCTACCCAATACCTTCTACATCAAAGCTGTTCTTAAGTCTTTCTCTAATGCATGCACACATACACACACACACCCCTAAAAAACATAACACTTTTCTTAGACCTTGGTCTCTTGTTCCTCTCTTCCTTCAACAAGAGCCACTGAAGTTACACATTCTCTCAAGGATGGGAGAGAAGAGACTGAAGAAGACAAAACAGACTTCACTTCAGCAGCCAAGTGGAAAGCTGGGAACACTGATAAACATGAGCCTCGTGGGCTTCCTATTATACATGGATAGACCACACCATTTATAAAGGTGAATTATGGCACGCTAACAAGAGCAATTATGTGTACCGATTTGGCAAATTTTACTTGTATTTCTGAAGATTTTCTAGGTTATTTTATCCTCTTGATTAATTTTTTTCTTCAATAATACACCTATCAATTTTCTATGGACTAGTAGGTTTCCAAGAAACATGATTTCCACAAAATGTACTGTTTTTTAAAGCATCATTTAGTATTTGGACATCTTTTTAAATTACTTCCTTCAAATCACTATCTTTTAGGTGACTTAGAAATGTCCTTGTTGAAGATGTACTGAATAATAAAGTTTGTAGGTGCAGCCTACAGCCCAGTGTCAACCATATAAAAGATATTTGAATATTGTTTGTGGCTTTAATTCATCACAGGCCTTTATGACTTTTAGTCATGTGAGTTTATATGGATAACTTCAGCTTCACATATGTCATAGACATCTCATAAGTTCATATTTGCAAATGATCAGCTGAGGTTTTATTAAGAAGAGCATAGTAAAATAAGCTGCAGTTAATTTATTGACAGAAATTAAAGCCATAGCTCTCCTTCTATTGCTAATGAAAACTATTTTTTAGTCTCCAAAAGACAAGATTTAGAATATATATCGAACACTTCCACTTGTTAATATGGGATTCTATTTCAAACACTGTGAATTCGTGAACAAGTTAAGAGAGAGGATGTAGGGTTATCATGGATGTTCTGAAGTGGGTTGTTCACTCTTTCGTAATTTATCGAGCTACATGCTTGTGGTTTGTATACATTCCAATATTTGGATTTTCCTTTAATTAAAGTATTTGAAATTCGTGTTGTTGAAGTTTATTAACATGATATAATGTTGATCATTTAGGAAATTATAATAAATAGGTTATAAAATAGCCCATTTAGTGTGATATCATGTTGGAAAAATATATGTTTAATCAGAAAGAAAAAATAGTTGAAGGGTATACACCAACAGCTTGCTAGTGGTTAATGAAATTAAAAGGTTTCCTAGTGGTTAACAAAAAACATTGTAGTGTGTGCTGTAGCTAATACAGTTTGTAGACATTTCTTTTTCTTTTTCTTTTTTTTTTTTTTGAGACAGAATCTCTGTAGTCCAGGCTACAGAGTGGTGCTGTGGTGCGATCTCGGCTCACTGCAACCTCTCCCTCCTGAGTTCAGACGATTCTCCTGCCTCAGCCTCCTGAATAGCTGGGACTACAGGCATATGCCACTACGCCAGGAGAATTTTTTGTAATTTTAGTAGAGACGGTTTCACCATGTTGGCCAGGCTGTTCTCAAACTCCTGGCCTCAGGTGATCCACCCACCTCAGCCTCCCAAAATACTGGGATTACAGGCGTAAGCCGTCACACCCAGCTCATTTTGTAGACATTTTGACATCAGGACACAAAAAGCTTCCTCATTTTTTAATGGCTTCTATGTATTTATGACTAATTGAATCAATTTTCCATTGATGGCATTTAGGTAGTTTCTAAGCTTTTACTCCTGTAAATAATGTTGCAAGGAAAATCTTGTACATACACTGCATTGCATATTTGTAAGTACATCTGTAGAATAGTTTTCTAGAAGTAGAATTGCTGACTTCAAGGAAATATGCATCTTAATTTTGACAGCCAGGTGCTCCACAGCAATGGTGCTCCATGGAGTTTGTCTCAATTATGCCCCTGTAAGCAATGTACGAAAGTACCTGTTTCCATGCATCTTTGCTAATGAAGTTTGTAGTCACCTCATTTGTCTCTGAAACTTAAAGCAAAATATGTAAAAAGCACAAGGACAAATATTTTGGTAGTATTATAAGTGATGGACTCTCCTTTTGTCTTTTCTTTTTAGCTTTTGTAAGATTTTCAAATTAACAGGAAAAAAAAATCAAATTATAGAACAGTATTTATACTATACCACCATTGGTGTAAAAAGGGTTAGGAAAAGAATAAAAGTATGTATGTATGTATGTATGTATGTATGATGTATGTATGTATGATGTATGTATGTATGATGTATGTATGATGTATGTATGATGTATGTATGATGTATGATTTATGTATGTATGTATGATGTATGTATGATGTATGTATGTATGATGTATGTATGTATGATGTATGTATGTATGATGTATGTATGTATGTATGATGTATGTATGTATGTATGTATGATGTATGTGTGTATGTATGTATGATGTATGTGTGTATGTATGATGTATGTGTGTATGTATGATGTATGTATGTATGTATGTATGATGTATGTATGTATGTATGATGTATGTATGTATGTATGATGTATGTGTGTATGATGTATGTATGTATGTATGATGTATGTATGTATGTATGATGTATGTATGTATGTATGTATGCATGTATGTATGTATAAGCTTAATCATCCTTTAGGAGTCCAGGTAACATACAGACTGTCACGAATCAGAGATACATTTCCCTACAGCATGCTTTATTTAGGAATGGCAAGGGCCTATGCAATTAAAACACTCAGATGCAGCAGAGAGGCCTGGGGAGTCATGGTGGCTCCACAGGTGCTGTCACCTAGAAAGCCTTTCTTTTGGTGAAATTACAGAACTGTGAAGCATTTCCATTATAGACCTGGATACTGCCCATGCCTAGCCTACTTGAACTCCTGGGAGCTCCCCCTCCTGAGTGATTCAGGGTTCTATTTACTATGGGCTATCCTAAGCCAGGACTGCCTTCTAATGGCCCTTCAGAGATAATGCCTCTTCCTCCTACAAATATCAGTTAAGTCTGTTTATCTTGAGGTCCAGATGACTTGGAAGTTAGACTAGATTCCCTGCCTTTCTCCTGGGGACATGTCCCCTAAAAAAAAAAAAATCCAAAAGTGAGTGGATTTCAAGTAGCCAACTTAATCCTTCCTTTTAGAAGGATACACAACAGTATTTTAGGGGTGCAGGAGAGCTGAGATCAGGATAAGATGGAGATTTTAAAGTGAATTTTTTTGGGGCCATGTAAGTGTATTACTTATTTTAAAATGATTACATAACTATAATTAA
The DNA here is from genome assembly GCF_000001405.40 of Homo sapiens. Taxonomy (NCBI): domain Eukaryota; kingdom Metazoa; phylum Chordata; class Mammalia; order Primates; family Hominidae; genus Homo; species Homo sapiens. The sequence goes on from NC_000020.11 coordinate 8,032,580, forward strand.
CAAAAGTAATAAAGTAGAAGCCTGCAATTTATAACCAATACCACAAGATATTTCTGGATTCCAATTGTATCTATATTCATGGAAAATGCTTCTATGCATGGCTAATCTAATTTTGGTAATGGAGTATTTGGCATAGAGAAGATTGGGACCGAGGAGGAGAATGTGACAAGATTAAAATCCTTGGGAACATTATAGATTCTTGTGTTTGGTTTTGGATCTCTGCCTAATCAAAGCCTTTTTTTTTCCCCTCCTGAAATATATTAGTGGATTTTATACGCTTTTTGAATGTATTAATGACATTACCATTTTTAAGTTTGCCCATTGTATTTGTAACTGTGCTTTCTGACGTAATGGAAAGGCTTCAGGACATCACCATATTAATCCTGTCTTTGTTACTTTATGGCCTTAAGAAAGACAAAACTTTTTTGTCTCGGGTGCAGATATAGTATGGGATGATGAGGAAAGCCAGACAGACCTAGGATTTAGGCTGGACTTGGCCTGCCCTTGCTATTTATGTGACTCAACTTCTCTGAGTTTCACTAACCTGATCCCCATCTGTAAAATGGGACTATCCGTGCCAACTGTTTTAGCCTACATTCCCTAGAAAACAAAGCCTATGGCCAGGATGAAACCATCAATATTTAATTTGGGGGGTAGGAGGGCAAAAATCTGGAGCAGCAAGTAAGAGAAAGAAGAAACATGAGGCAAAAGGATATAGAGAGGCGTGGTAATCAGCAGCTGTATCCACTTGGCACAAGATTTCCTGGATGGTTAAAAAGATAATCCATGCATCCAAGGAGGAAAAGGGAATACAATTGGCTGAGCTTCACACATCTCTTTCCCACTGGCCGGAGTTTGCCTCCGTGGACTTTACCTCCCTGCACCATCTAGTGACATCCTTTGGCCCCTTCAGCTGCATCTTGGAATGCCATATGCCAAGTCCTGTGGTGTGACATTTCACTGAAGTCCTTGAGTGGCTGGAGGAGTCAGAACTCCAGATGAGTCTGCCTGGCTGCTTTGTGGTGGCCAAAAGGGAAGTTCCAGCATTCATGGGACAAGTAACCGTCAGCCCCAGGAGGTGGGCGTGAGCCGGAGCAGAGTTGGCATTGTGTGGAAGTGGCTGAGACAGAGAGTAGCTGAGGTTCTGGAAGGTGGCTGGTGCCCAGAGAATTGTGGACATGTATAATAACATTTGCATCCAATATACCCAGCTTCCTTTGTGTGTGTGTATAATGGCTAAATAAAATAAACTATTTCATACCTCATATATAGAGGTACTCAACAATGCTAGTTCCTTCAAATGCTGTTTGGTGAGAGGCCCGTCTATAAAAGCAGCCACCAAATGCCAAAGGAGCGAAGAAACCAAAGAATGAGGCAAACAAATCTAGTTTATTGGTAAAAGATATTTTATTGGGGGAACTTACAGACTGAAGCAGTGGTCTTGGGTGGCCACAGGACACCTTTACTCCCAGACCCAGGGCTCATATACCATACAGAAATGTATAAATGCTCTGTACAAGGCAATTAAAGGCAACCCTCCAGAACAGGCAAGAATACTGTGTGCACCATAGCCTATAATTTGTGCAATAACATCAAGGATGACATATTCTTAACTAGGGACAGTAAATAAAGTAGGAATCAGGAGGCATTCTCAGGACTGGGAGTAATCAGAAGTCAACATGGTGGATTAGCATCCAAGATGCAGTCACTTTTGTCTCCATAAATGGATACAACAGCTATTGTAATTTTTTATTAGGGATACAATTAAAACTAAGAATATATTAGGTATGTTTTCTTTGAACATTCCAGAAAACTCCTCTAGTAATCACCTAGTTTTAATAATTAGCAATGTTTTCTACACCTCCATCTTTATTGCAGCACTATTCACAATAGCCAAGATATGGAATCAATCTAAGTGTCCATCAACAGATTAAGAAAATGTGGTGTATGTATACACAATGGAATATTGTTCAGTCATAAAGAAGAATGAAATCCTGTCATTCAAAGCAATATGGATAAGGCTGGAGGACATATGCTAAGTGAAGTAAGTCAGGCATATGCTAAGAAAAATAAATACCATATGTCCTCACTCATACGTGGGAGCTTAAAAACGCTGAGCTCATAGAAGCAGAGAATAGAATTGTGGTTATTAGAAGCTGGGAAAGGTAAAGGGTAGAGGAAGGGGAGAGATAATGGATACAAAATTACAGCTAGATAGGAGGAATGAGTTCTAGTGTTCTACAGCACTGTAGGGTGATATAGTTAACAATATAGTGTATGTTTTCAAATAGGTAGAAGAGGATTTTGAATGTTCTCAACATAAAGAAATGATAAACATTTGAGGCAATGGATATGTTAATTACCTTGATTTGATTACTACATATTGTGTATAGGTATCAAAATACACTATACACTATATTGACAATTATTATTCAGTTTTTAAAAAGGAATAATAATTAGCCATATTGTTATTCTTGCTTTGTTAATATCTCCCTTCACATTGCTTTTGCTACAAATTTTAAAGCAAATTCTTGGTATAATAGTTTTTTAACAACAAAAAATTCAGAGCTTATTACTAACAAATAAGGACTTTTTAAACAAATAAAATCACCTTGGTATTATCATATCTAGTAAAATGAACAAAATTTATTCAAGATTTGGGGGATTTTTTGTTTTGTTTTGCTTTATTCTCCACAGATAATGTGTCTTCCTATCAATGCAGAAATAGATGATCACAAGGGAGGAGAAATGTCCCAGGAGGGCAGACACCAGTACAAAAGGGTCTCTATTGCCTTCCCTTTCCCTCCTTTTTCTACCTCCTCTACCTGTAGTTCCATCTCAGCCTGCTGAGCCACGACCATCTCTTCAACCACAATTGACTCTTTTGCCTCCACTAAATGCTGCTTACGTGGCTCCTGTCCATTCAGCTCCCATGACCGCCACCTCTGCCCCTTTTTGCTTCACTTTTTCACTGGTATAACTTCCACATTTTGGCGGCCAATTTGACTACACAGTCACTTAGCTTTAGGAGATCAAGTAATCTCATTACCTACAAGAGACTTAAGCCTAGTCAGGTCCATCTATTACATAATAGAAGACACTCAGGTTTGGGAAAGTTAAACAAATTATTCAGCTCTTTCCATTAGGTATATAAGATTATACTTTTTTCTCTTATGTAGATTTTTTGCCTGAATCCAGCACTTTAGCCCCTCAATATCATGTTAAAGCTTGGCTTTGTGCTTGTACAGATATTCTTCCTAGCTTAGCTTCATCAAAAATTTTTCTAAGCCTGCTTTTTATATTTTCAACCAGGATTTGTTAAGAATATTCAGAAGCCTAAAGTAGTTAGTCCACCTGAGACCTTTTTTGAGGATACCATCTGGTCATTGGTTCTGATGGTTCAATCCGAATTGCTTAATGCTGTCTGATATTCAGATCACCCCGGTTTCTTAAACATGTCTTCTAACTGTTGATATGATCAGGTTATAAGGTTGACACATTGTTTTTGGTTGATGTGTCTATAAATTTTAGCAATAACAGATCCTCTTTCCATACCCCACAATTCTATATCGTTTATGTTTTGAAGAAATGTGCCAATTTGTCCTGTAGAAGTTTCTCAGTTTTAATTAATATCATGTCGTCAAATCCACTTCCATCTTTCACTCCTGGCAACTATGACCTGTTACTGGTTGGTATAGTTTTGTTTAACAGAATGTCATATAAATGGAATCATAATATGTAGACTTTTAAGTTTGGCATGTTTCATATAACATAACGCATTTGCGATTCATCCATGTTGCTGTGCGTATCGGTAGTTTGCCGAATATACTCCATTGCTTGTGTATCTATTCTCTAGTTAAGGAACATTTAGTTTATTTCTAGTTTTTGGCAATTGTGAATAAAGCTATTACATACATTTGAGTAGAGGGTTTGGTGTGAATTTACGTTTTCATTTGATTTGAATGGAATTTCTCTGTCCAATAATAAAGGCATGTTTAACTTTATAGAAAACTGCCAGTAGGAAGTACCATTTTGTATTCCCATGAGCAATGGATGAAAATTTCAGTTGTTCCACATCCTCATCGGCAATTGGAATTGTCGGGATTTTATTTTGTTTTAGTATTTTAGTTATTGTAATACGAATGTATATAAAGGACTATTATTCTAGCATAAAATGAAAGAATCGATACATGGTACAACATGGATGAAAAAGCATTATGCTAAGCAAAACAAGCCAGAAGACGCAAAAGGACAAACATTGTATGATTTCACCTTTATGAAATAGCTACAGCAGGCAAATTCATAAAGACAGAAGGTAGATTAGAGGTTACTGGAGGTGTCTGTCCTCTGTGCATCTACAGTTTCATTCTCAGCCTCAGCACTCTCCCAACAGGCCACAGCCACAATACCAATGTCATAGAATTGGTCACTCCCGGGGGTAAAAGGGTGGAGTTTGCCCCACTTAGGGAGGATGAGTAATGTTTTTCATCATTTTAAAAAACAGTTTCTGAAAAACTGATAGAACATTAAGGTGACCATAAAAACTCTAAATGTTCAGTTCTCTGATGTGAGCAAGAAAACATGCTACACATTTACAGGTAATATATAAGGTATTTAGGAAGTCTTTTATTTTGTTGCTGCTGCTGCTGCTGTTTTTAAAGTACAAATGTGGAGTTCAGCTTAAGGTGTGTGAAAACTGAGCAGCCTTTTCTTTATTGGTAAGTAAAATAATAAATAGCAGGTAACCAAACAAGAGAAAACATGTTTAAGAAATATACACGCATAGATATATACACAAGTTTTATTTTTAAATAAGTTTAGACTTACCGGCATACAGTTCCTATTTGGGGTGATACATAAGTTTAGCAACTAGATATCAGTAATACTTGCACCATATTTTCAATATAATTAATGGTGCTAAATTGTATACTTAAAAGCTATTCAAATGGCAAATTTTGTGTTATATATATATTTACCGTAATTTAAAAGTAATTATAAAAATCTAAAAACAAAAATAGATTTTTCAGATCAATTTTGATCAATTTTAGGAAGACAGTAAAAGGAAAGAATTGTTGGCCAGGCCTGGTGGCTCATACCTGTAATCCCAGCACTTTGGGAGGGCAAGCAGGGCAGATCGCTTGAACTCAGGAGTTTGAGACCAGCCTGACCAACGTGGTGAAAACCCATCTCTACTAAAAGTACAAAAATTAGCCAAGCATAGTGGCGGGCACCTTTAATCCTAGCTACTCATGAGGCTGAGGCAAGAGAATCGCTTGAACCTGGGAGGTGGAGGCTGCAGTGAGCCAAGATCATGCCACTGCACTCCAGCCTGAGTAACAGAGGGATACTCTGTCTCAAAAATAAAAAAAAGAATTGTTGAGCGTTCTAAGGTTTCATGCACTGTTGGACTGCACTATCAAGATAGAACTCAAAGGAAAAGAGAAAAAGGAGTATAGGAAGAAGTGGGAGACATTCATTGGGTTTTGATGACATTGAATTTGAGATTGTTACAGGCTATTGGTAACATGATTATGGAAATCCATTTGAAAATCATTAGCATTTAGCGTTAGCTGAAAAAACTAGAATGATAATTAAAAATCGAGATGATTTTAGGAAAAGTTAACCTCCTCTCCCAGTCTAATAAGTTTGGTTACATTATACAAAAAAAAAAAAAAAAAAAATCAGATAGAAAACAGCTCCCTTCTTACAGTAGTCATAATTCTTTTCTTGACTTTTCTCAAAATGGAAAAATTAGGGTCAACATTGTTGTGCCACTTCATAGCAACAATCTAATTTGGTTTTCTTTTGTTTATTGCCAAAAACTTAATTAGATACATAATCCACGGTCATTATTTGTCTATTAACTCCAGGGGACAATAGGCTTTTGAAGGCCGGTTTAGAGAATCAACTTACGTGCCCTTGTGCCTTCTGTGTGAGTGGGGATTGTTGCTAAGACCCCTAGATACATATCAACAGAAAAGATTAATGGGCTTTACCCTGGAATGACCTCACTGTGATAGCATCCCAAGCCAAGGTTCAAATGAGGTAACACATGACCTTAGTATAGTTTAAAGCTCTATATAAATGTTATTTATTATTATTATTGTTATAATAAACTTAGGCTGGGTCAGTGGAACAGCTTGTATCTTTAGCAAAACCATCTTAAAAGGAAGCTTAGTAGTGTGAAGACTCTATGTGTGTGATACTAGCAGGTTTCTCTAAGGACTAAATGTCTCTGACATAGTTCCTTAACTAGTACCTGAACAAACTGCGCCATTAGTGTATTGAGGGATCTTCAGCCTCAGCAATAATAACATTTTGGACCAGATAGTTCTTTGTGTGGTGGGTTGTTCTGCGCATTGTAAGATGTTTACTAGCATCCTTGGCCTCTACCCACTAGATGCCAGTTCCACCTTCCCAGTCCTGACAATCAAAACCATCTGCAAATATTGAGAAATATTTCCTGGAGGTCCAAATTGCCTCCTGCTGAAATACCTCTGTAGACATTTACATCTTGTCTCATTTATAACAGAGATAAATAGTATTCAAGAGCAATGCTCCAATTGTTATGTAATCGGACTATTGACCTTCAGAGATGCTGAATGAGAGATGTTTAATTACTGGAGAGCAAGAAAGTTGTTCAAAGTGCAGCAGTTGATACCAGAACACCTATCAGCACAGGGTGCAATTGGAGCAATCCAATGGAGCTATTATGTAGGGTGATCAGGTCAAGATTTTCTCACCACTGGAGGCGTCTGTCCTCTCTGCATCTACAGTTTCATTCTCAGCTTCAGCACTCTCCCAACAGGCCACACACAGTCACAATACCAGTGTCATAGAATTGGTCACTCAAGGTGGGGAAAAGGGTGGAGTTTGCCCCACTTAGGGAGAGATCAGTAACATTTTTCATCATTTTATAAAACAGTTTCTGAAAAACTGATAGAACATTAAGGCGACCACAAAAATAAAAACTGATAGAACATTAAGGTGACCATAAAAACGCCAAACGTTCAGTTCTCTGATGTGAGCAAGAAAACATGCTACACATTTACAGGTAATATATAAGGTATTTAGGAAATCTTTTATTTTGTTGTTGCTGCTGCTGTTTTTAAAGTACAAATGTGGAGTTCAGCATAAGGCGTGTGAAAACTGAGCAACCTTTTCTGTACTGGTAAGTAAAATAATAAATAGAAGGTAACTAAACAAGAGAAAACATGTTTAATAAATATACATGCATAGATATATACATAAGTTTTATTTTTGAATAAGTTTAGACTTACAGAAATGTAAAAATAATACATGTATAGTTCCCACGTGGCCCCTCATCAGTTTCCTCTGATGTTAACATCTTGTAATCATCAACACAAGGATATTAATATTGATACAATATTATTAACAAAGTTACCTTATTTGAAGTTCACCAGTTTTTCCAGTAGTGTTTGTTTTTCTGTTCCCAAATCTAATTCGAGGTCCTACATTGCATTTAGTTGTCATGTCCACTTGGTCTCCTCCAATATGTAACATTTCCTCAGTCTATCCTTGTTTTTATGGTCTTGGCAGGTAGATGGTTCCTCCATTTGGGTTGATGTGATTTTTTTTCTCAGGATTAGGTTGAGGTTCTGCATTTTTGGCAAGAATACCACAGATGTGATGCTGTACCTTTCTCAGTGCAGCCTATGAGGTGGTTCATGAAGAAAATGTATCATATTATCAGTGAATGTTATCCTCGTTCCCTTAGTGAAGGTGGTACCTGCCAGCTTCTACACTGTAATGGTAATATTTTTCTATTTATATTTTATTAATATCTTGGAGAAGACACTTTGAGACTATGCATATATCTAGCTTCTCAAACTTTTGCCTACAAAGTTTAGTATTTTATCAGCGGATCTTGCCTACAACCATTATTTTTCTGGTACTTGCCTAGAAAGATTGTCCATTTCCTTCATTCCTTCTACATTCATTAATTAGAATTCTTCTCTAAGTAGAGCTTTCCACACGCCCACCCTCCATTTATTTATATCTTCCAATAATTACTCTCTCAGCATGAGTGCATGGATATTTCTTACTTCTCTTCTATCATTATTTGTTTAGTTGTACAGATTGTGCTAGTTTGGCTGTTGGGTGCCTTTTCGAGTTGTGCCTGTGTCTATGTGACATGCCCACACCCTTTTCTGAGCATCTCTTGCTTTCTGGCACCTTCAGAGGTTCCAGGCTCATCTTGTATTTTTAAAACTAAATCTTCTCTTTTTTTTAATTTAAAAATGCATATTGAAAGGGTTTTCATGCAGTAAATAAAAAAGAACTAGGATTTACAAAAGCCAAGTAATTATCCTAAAAAAAAATGACAATTTTGAGGCTGGGTGTGGTGGCGCATGCCTGTAATCCGAGCACTTTGGGAGGCCGAGGCGGGTGGATCACCTGAGGTCAGGCGTTCAAGACCAACCTGGCCAACATGGTGAAACCCCATCTCTACCAAAAAATACAAAAGTTAGCCGGTGTGGTGGTGCTCGCTTGTAGTCCTAGTTGCTCGGGAGACTGAGCGGGATCGCTTGAACCCAGGAGGCGGAGGATGCAGTGAGCCAAGATCGCGCCACTGCAGTCCAGCCTAGGCGACAGAATGAGACCCTGTCTCAAATAATAATAATAATAATAATTTTGAAAGAGAAGTGGTAGATTTGGGGAGGAAAATATGAAGAGAACCTACAGAAGGACAGTGCAAATGTGCAAGAAACAGTTTAATCTGGGAAGAGGAACAAGTGAGAGCAGAGAGAAATAATTTTTACAAAAAATTTAAATATCATTAAAGCACAGTAAATGAAAAAAGAAAATTAACCAGAAAAGAGAAGTACATTGATGTTTTTACAGCAAGGAGTAATTTAAATCTGAGTTAATATAACATTTGAGCCTTTTATAATGTTATAATTAATATTCATTTGTACTATGATAACATTTATGAAAATTTGAGGAAATATCCAAGATTCCAATCTTGGGTTGCTCAGGGTCTCTTGATTTTAGAATTTGTTAAATTTGTGGACGGCTCCCTTCTCTGAGACAAAACCTACTTTGGCTAGATTTTTTTTTTAAATGAGATAAAGGAAGAAAAATGATCAGAAGACTTTATAAGCCCTGTCCTCCTTATCAATTACAATGCCAAGCCTTGGTTAGCCATTACCCGTTCTGGTTTTGGTCCCTTCCCTGAAGGTAGTGATCTTAAGTTCTAACTCTGGGCTCAAGCTGGTGTTGATCCCCCCAGTCGCCAGGGAATGGTGACTCCTGAGGTGGCTCTGCCCCTCTAACCATGTCCCTGCTGTTTCCACAGAAGCTCTGTGTTAGACAAGTTCTCCTCAGGGTAGGAATTGTGGGCTCTAGATGAAATCCAGTCCCACCAGAAACAAAGACATGCTACAGGGCATAAAAATAAAAACAAAAGTCCTGGAACAGACTTGGTTGCACTTCCAATCAGTGGGGAAATGATGGCTTTTGTACTGGAAGATGTAATGTTATTAAACTGGATAAACAAAGTCAGATTTCTTCCTTACACTATATGATCAACTGAGTGTGAGTAGGTAATGGTTTTTAAAGAAGTACTGAAAAAAAAAAGGGACAAGTAAAATTTGCCTACCACAAAATTGTGAGTTCCTGTTCAATGTAGGACATCATAGACAATTTTTGGGAGAAGTTAAATGTTCTTTCAAAAATGTTAAGATATTAATATCAATAATATCCAAAGATATAAAGAAAAGAATAGGTACCCAATAGAAAAATGGGCAAAATATATGAATAAGGAATTCACAGTAGAAACAAAAATGACTAACAATTATATGAAGATACACTTTACCACACTGGAAATCAGAATATTGAGATGTAACAGTAAAGACTTCAGCAAAGACAATCCCCCACAGGCATATATATCAAATATTGATAAGGCTGTGGGGAAATGGGAAGCCCTTCTGCACTCAGGGTAGAAGTCTGGACAGTATCGTATACTGAAGAGAAATCATTACTTTGTGAAATCATATCTGTAAAATCCCTATAGTTTACAGATATGAAAATCCCTGAGAATATAAACCAGGAAAATTCCTGCATGAGGGTCATATGTAAAGGTGCTTTATGTAAACATTACTTGTGGTACCAAGAGGAGGAGGCAACCTGGTTTTCTATCACCAGAAAAAATGGAAACAAAAAAGTGGGAATACTATGGACACACTAGTCACAAATAATTGGAAGTAGAAACAGTAAGGGGAAGAACCTAAGAAGAGCTTAGATGAAAATAAATAAGAAACCGAATGAAATTGAGAGTGAAACAGTGGGGGAGGGGAGAGTGTAACAAAATAGAGGGGCTTTGTATAAAATAAAGATCGTGTCCCAAGAATTGAGATATATGATTATTTTAACTCTGCACCCTGTAAACCCAAACCTAACATTTCTGCATTTTTTCCTTTGTGCAGATATGCAACTTGTTTTATTTAATCTATGTGATGCCTCTGTGATGAATGAACATTAAGGTCAAGGCAAAAATAATTGTATATCCCATATACCTCCTGTTTTATACTCAGCACATTTATTTAAAAATAATTTTGAGTCACTTAGCCAGACCAAAAAACAATAAATTCAATTATAATGATCAACACACATGCTTATAAATTTAAGATAAATTAGAAAACGATGTTATAGAAACGTATTCACTTAATCACATGGCCTTTCCTACAAGAATGAGTTAAGGTTCATATGTCTTTCAAAGTTTAACTGGTGTGCCTTTTTGATATTATGCCAAAATAACTTTAAAAGCAAAATTTTATTCTTATTTTATTTTTTCAGGGTATTCTTATTAAATCTGATTATCACTCTTCTAATTGCTACTGAAACCAGGAAAAAAAAGCTCAGAAAAGATGTCATATATCTTCAAATTGTTTAAATAAAATTAATCACAGATAATTTTCACATTTTTATCTAAAAGAAGATATTATAAATATTGTTTCTGAAGCAACATATACCTTTGATGTGCTAAGAGGAAAATGAAAATTGTTTCTAAAGTGAAGATAATGTAGGTTTCTAAGTGAAATAATGCATAAACATGTTTTATATTCGCTTTCACACCCTTCTTTTAAAGTCTAAATAAGAAAGCTTATAATTAATATATAAACTGCCCACATCACTCATTCTACTGCATACTGACCAAAAACAAAGAGAGAAAATCACATTCTATGGCATGTGGTTCCTGAGGTAAGATTGAATCCTCCCGGACAGGTGAGTTCTGAATCGCTTCCTGCTGATTGGTTCTAGCTGATTTTAATATTGTTGCCGCTAGATGGCGATAGAGATTATAACTACGCAGTCAAATCTTACATGCAGTGGAATCTTCTCAGTATTCCGTTATTCATGCACCGATTTATTTATTCTAAAGTATTCTTTATTATACAAATATAATTATGACTCAGATAACTGCAAGTTACTATGAATTCCTAGAGGACAGAAATCTTTTCTTTTTTTTTTTTTTGCAATTTTTAATACTTCACATAAGCATAATATCTATATTTAAAATGGTATTGCTGGGCGCGGTGACTTACGCTTGTAATACCAGCACTTTAGGAAGGCAAGGCAGGAGGATCGCTTGAGCTCAGGAGTTCGAGACCAGCCTGAGCAACAGAGTAAGACCGTCTCTACAGAAAAATTTAAAAATTAGCTGGAGCCTGGTGGTGAACACCTGTGTTCCCAGCTACTTGGGGGGCTGAGACAGGAGGATCGCCTGAGCCCAAGAGGTCGAGGCAGTAGTGCGCCACGATTACACCACTGCACTCCAGCCTAGGTGACAGTGTGAGATCCTGTCCCCCCAAAATATTAATATAATATTAATATTATATTAATAATAATATAATATAGGTAATAATAATAATATAGGTTTATATGTATAAATTATATATACTATATGCATTATATATAAATTTAAAGTAATGCAGAGGGCAAGTGTTAAACAGCAACATATATACCTTTGCTTATTGTCTTGTAAATAAAGGCTAAGTCCAGAACTTGGCTGACTTTCCAACTTGCAGAATCAATTTTTTGTTTACCCACCTAGGACAGAGTCTGAAAAACAACAAGAACTCAATAAATATTTGTCCTATGAATGAATGTATTCAGTTGGCTGTTGTCTCTCCATTCTTCTTAAGCTGATTATCATTCTAGTAATATGCTATTTCTTTTAAATGGCAATTAAGTGATACTGAATTTGCCACTTGTAACAGGGTATCAAATACAATCACAGAGTCACTAAATTGTGTCTTTGTTTCATCTCCTTAATCATATTTTCCCACACTTGCTTTAAAAGTTTCCTTGTCATAGTGATCAAACACAAAGGGGAGTGAAGAAACTATAATTCTTCAAGTGTCTAAAATCAGATGATGCTGAAATGGATCATGTGCTTACTAAATAAGACACAGAGTAAATTCCATATCTGCTTGGAGCATGTGACTTCCTGTGTAACATGGAGAAGCCACTCAAAATCACTTAATCACCATGTAACAAAAGAGGCCCATTTAATTATGTGAGGATGTGTAGAATATATTTAGTTAATAGCTATATATTTCCTATTATTGTCTTCTCATTTCCAGCGAGCAGTCTATTTCTGACCTAGTATTACGTTTTAGAATTTACTTTAATATGTAGCCAACTTCTCACGCCGTGAGGATCCTCCTCTGAGCTCAGAGACACCAACATCCGCTACTAACTGTCCTCCTCAGAGGTCGGGGTCCCAGCCCCACGGGGATCCTTCTCCAAGATGAATTAACATCCCTCTATAGAGGTCTGAGTTTCAGCTCACAGGGTCCCTTCTCTACAGTTCTCATTTTAATCAGTCCGATACCTTGCCTATGTTCTCCTAGCCCATGGGATGGTCCTTGTTTCCTGCAGCTCCAATTCAGTGATACCTTCTTTTGCCCTTTATTTATTCACTGCTGCGTTACACTTCTTTACATTGAATTCCTCACCGTCAACAGAACCGGTGCAATTTGTGTCTCCTAACTGATAAACCCCTCTCTTCATCTGAAGTGCTCTTCTAATCCTCTCTATTGAAATCTTGGTGAATTTCTGATCTAAGACAATAAGAATTAAACCAATACGTAGTAAACATTTATATTTATTCTGCAAATAAAAGAGCTTCTTAATGATAGGACAGAAAAAACACAAAGGGAGACTTAACAAACACGTCACCAATTTTGGCTAAATATTTACCTTGATTCTACAACAAAAACATATTTTTACAAACATTATTACTTAAACTGACTGGAAAAATACAGTTCAAGAACTCTTAAAAAGAGAAGACACTTTGATCCTGAAACTGAAAACATTAGTATCCTATATAATCGTGAAAGGAAATTGGATATGTTTAATGAATCCTGACTATTACATTGTTCATAGTTAGCAAGAACAGATTATATTTTATAAAACTTCTTGCTTCTCGGGGTCAAACTAAACCATTTGGACATTTCTTTCTCATTCACCAGCATGACTTTTTCAAAAATTAGCCACAGTTTAATTGGGAAGAAGTTTTGTCAGGAAAATTAAATTAGCTGGGATGCAGATTAAAGGATTATGATTTCTTATCTATTTTGGTAGCTTCTGTTTATCTGTAACATTTCTCAGATAATGGACTACAGTAGATGGCTCAGTTTTATTTTGTTTAATGAGATGTTGAGCTTGCTTTTCTTATTTAGCATATAAATTACTGTAACTACTGATTTTTGAAGAGTCACATTTTTTCTTTTAATGAACCTACCTTTACTGAACTTTTTTCAGACTACATAATGCTTGCTTTCTAAAACAATTTAGAAGATACATAAAATTATACAAAAGAAAGTAGAAGTTGCCTGAAATCTCACTATCCTATTATGTATGCAGATTAATTTACATAATTTTATATAAAAATGGAATATAATGAATTTTTTCATATCACTTTGTAAAGCTTTTTGGCATTACCTTTTAATGCTGACCATGAGGACAGCCTGCAACCCAGCAATCCCAGACCTAGGTATACACCCTAGAGACACCCTTGCCCATATGCCCCAGGAGACATATACAGGGATGTTCATAACAGCCCCAAAGAGAGTAAAAGGAAAATAGAATCTCAGGACTCCAAACTCACTATGCTGAAGAGAAAGTTAAGCTTGGGAACTGAGTCATGCAAAAACCTCCTTCCTTTCATTCACAAAGTGATGGCTATAATTTCACAGGCTTACTTTATGTAAAAGGTAGATTTACTGAGCACACGATGAGTGCATAACTGACTTTTTCTTCTATTCCCTTCTTTTCCCATGTAAAATGTAGATTCACTGAGTGCTAATCAGAACTTCACAAGAATGTAACCACTTGCTTCCTTGCCTATCCACCCTTCTATTTTTTTTTTCTTTTTTCTTTTTCTCTCTCTCCTGCTTGCTCTTTCCCCTTTAAATATTGAAATCCCCAAGCCCTCAAGCTTTTTTTCCTGGAAAAAGCACAAGCTCCCCAAGATTTTTTGGGGAAAAACACAAGTCACAGGTTCTACTGTGACTTGAATTTCTTTTTCCCAGGCCTGCCCTCAACCTTGGCAAAATAAAATTCTAATTGACTGAGATCTGCTTCCATCACTTTTTGGTCTACTGAAGGGGCAACACACCTGTCCATCAATAGGACTGGAGGCACCAGACAATTGTGCCTTTCATCTTATGTGATATTTCTTTATCCTGTTAAGGCTTTCAATCTTAAACTCTCTCTCATGTGCTATTAATATTGTAAAACTTGTGTTCTTTTTATTTTTGTCTTGGAACTACAGTGTCAGTATTAAAATTTCCCTTTTTCTTAAAGAAATGTTTTCCTCCTTTCTTAAATTTTGTACAAATTTATTCTTCAAGTTCAGGAAGTTTACCAGGGAATTCCAGATTTCATTTATTCAGCTCTGTCAGGAGCTCATTTCATCCTTTAACCACGAAGAAACTATCTTGCCTCCACTTAGGGTGGTTTTTTTCTATTATTTAATTACTGCCTCCCCCTCATCTGTTCCTACTTACAGCATATTAGAGTTTCTGGAGTTTCACTCCAAATTGCTTTTGGTTCACCTCTTGATGGCCAAATCCTTGTAATGTGTTTGTGTTTAGAGAAATTTAAAAACACAGGGTCTTCTTGCCTGTTATATCTGGTCTGCTGGAGTCTGGCTGTGTCGCCCAGGCTGGAGTGCGGTGAGGCAATCTTGGCTCACAGGTTCAAGCAATTCTTCTGCCTCAGCCTCCCGCATAGCTGGCACTACAGGCGTGTGCCACCACGCCCAGCTAATTTTTGTATTTTTAGTAGAGACAGGGTTTCACCATGTTGGCCCACATGGTCTCCATCTCCTGACCTCGTGATCTTCCCGCCTCGGCCTCCCAAAGTGCTAGGTGTGAGCCACTGCACCCGGCCTGCTCTTGTTTTCAATATTTCTCCTGAATTATAAAATTTGAAAATGATCTGTTTTTGTTTTCAAAAGAACTTTATTTTGTAATTAAATCTTTGTATGTCTCTTTATTTATTGACTTACCAACTTTAGATTGTTAGTTAAAGTTGTCATCTGTTTCCTGGAGTGGTTATTTTTGCTGGAAGCTACCTGTGGAGGGTGATCGGACCCATGTCTTCCTTCCTGTGACTTCTGGGTTCACCTCACTTTATTATTATTTTTCTGCCTCCTGTGGATGACTCACCCTTAAGTCTAGCCTTAAGTAAATATTTGATATCTACCAGGAGCATTCAGGAAAAAAAAATCACACTTATTGGTGATAGATCAGAGGAATTCCCATTAAAGTCTTAAGGCAAGGATAGTTGCTATCATGGTCACTGCGTTGGTGATCATAACCAAAATAATATGACAAGAAAGAAATTAGGTAAATTGATTAGAAGTGAAATGAAAAGACTGACATTATTTACTGATGATATCACCTGCCCAGAAAATCTAACCATATCAACCAAAATATTGTTAGAACTAGTAAGAGAATTTATCAAGATGGTCAGATGTAAGACTAACCTACAAATCTCAGATAGCATTCGATACCAGTAATAAATGTTACAAAATATCTAGAAATAAATCTATCAAGAAATAAGTATAAGACATAAGAAGAAAATTATGAAACTCTACAAAAGGGAAGAAAAGGTAATGAGTATATAGAGAACCATGCAAAAATCTTAGATAAGAAAATTCCATATTATAAATATTTCAATTCTCCACACATTATGCTATAAATTCAATGCAATTACAAATAAAATTCACTTTGGAAATTGTTATAAAATCTTGAGAAACTATATTTAAATCTCATCTGGAGGAGAAAAAATAAAGATAAAAATAGCTAATGTACTTTTTATACAAAACAAAAATAATAAGGCATTACTTTCCTGGTCTGCTATCAGAACTTATTCTAAATCTGCAGTCATTAAAACAGTGTGGCAATAATTTTAGAAAATATGGAAGAGTCAGATAGACTAAATAGGCCAAAAGCCGACCTCTTTTCAGTGGGAAATTCAATAGGTGATAAAGATGGCATTTTAAATCAGAAACCAAAGGATGAATTCTTCAGTAAAGTATATTAAGATTGTGAATTCTGCATTTGGAAGAAAAATAAATTCGATTAACTGCTTCAAATTTGTTACAGATCAGGTTCTTCGGGAAGCAGTTTATGAGACAGGGATGTGTTGGCAGGAAGTTTTTTGGGGAGTTGCTCTTTAGATCGACACCTGGGGAATGTAAAGGAATCAGCAGTGGGCCCCAGGAAATGTCGAGCTGCAGTTTAGGCTCAGTTGAGGCCTGGGCCAACCCTAAAGGGAGCTGTGAAGCTGGGGTGTCCCTTTAGAGCTGTACAGTGCTGGGGTCAGAGGGCCAGCATTTATAGTCCCACAAGGATCAGTCATTGGATGTGGGCTGGTCCCCAGAAGGGAGCATGAACTTGGGCGAGGCAGCTCTCCCCCGCTGAGAGGGTTGACACTACAACATTCACAAAATGAATTCCAGATGTATCTAAAAAACAATGGTAGGAAACTAAGATATGGGGTGTGAGTTTTTTAAAAAGTAGAATGTATCATAATATAGGGTAAGAAGGCATTTCAAATGATAAATGAATTTGACAACTAAAAGATTGAGAAAGTCTATAAACATATTTTAACATAAAGAAAGCCAAATGGCACACTGGGAAAAAAATATTTGCAATGTGTTTTAATCAATGTGTGATGCACAGAATGCAACAAAAAGTAGCTTTCCTTTTGATTTCCAAAAGACAACCTCAAAATTTTTTTATTCTTTTTTTGAGACGGAGTCTTACTTATTGCCCGGGCTGGAGTGCAGTGGTGTGATCTCAGCTCACTGCAACCTCCACCTCCTGGGTTCAAGAGATTCTCGTGCCTCAGCCTCCCGAGTACCAGGAATTACAGGCACTCACCACCATACCCAGCTAATTTTTGTATTTTTAGTAGATAAGTGGTTTCACCATGTTGCCCAGGCTGGTCTCAAATTCCTGACCTCATTTGACCTGCCCACTTTGGCCTCCCAAAGTGCTGGGATCACAGGCAAGAGCCATCGCACCCAGCCTCTCAAAATTATTGAGTAGAAGCTTCAGAGGGCCCCACGACTTTTCTGTCCTATGTTCATGTGTCAGAGTCGAAAACACACTCTCATTTTAGTTCAGGATATTAATCAACACTTCGAACTTCCTTCTGAGATAAGATTTCTCCTCCTTCTCGCCAGCTCTGTGCTGCATTTGGTGGGGTCCCCGGCCATTAGAGAGGGGGATGTGGTTGGCTTCTGTTTGTTCTTTTATTTCGTCTTCCCTCATACCCTCTAGCTAGCTGTGGCTTTAGACCCTGCCTGGCAGAAAAGTGTGGGCAGGAGGAAGGAGAGGTGAAGATATGGAGCTGGAAAACTTCCAGTTTGCTGGGGATGGATTTTGTCACCGCTGACTTCTTGTGTTCTGGGGCTGGCTGATGTTTAAAGGGAACTCTCTTACATAAGATATTTGGTGGGGTTTTTGGATACCCCAATGGCCTCTCTCAACCCCAACCACAGCATTCGCACCTTCCTGGTTCATGCCTCCGATTCACTGGTGGACTATACCTCAGACTCTTGCTGTTAGAGCTCCCACATCCTTCCAGATCATTTAAGCACAGTTGAGAAAGACACTCACATTCTTGGACCCACTGTGAGTGGAAAAATCTTTCCTTCCCAAATGTAGCCCTTTACAGTCTCTCTAACTAGTTTGTCACCGTCTAGACCTCTTGAAGAAGAGGCAGACAGTAGTCTGCTTTTTCCCACCTGCAACCGCATGGAGAACGTTGCTCCTTGGTGTGAAGGGAAGGAAGGCGCTTTGCTGGTTCTGTGGGACCTGGGCTCAGGCAGGAGGACTCGCACCAGGCAGAGCCTCTGTTAAGAAATCCCTTACGAATCCCTGTCCATCTTCTCAACCTGCTGTGCATAAAGATTTTCATTTGTTTGTTTTAGGTTCAAATGTATTCTTTTTGAGAACATCCTGTCACGATATATAACTGAAAAGTGATTACCATCCAGAACTCATAAGGAGCTTCTACAAATCAACAAGAAAAAGACAAATAGCACAGTAGAGGAATGTGGGAATGGTATATACAGACAAATACAGAAGGAGAATTAAACAAAGAAAAGATGCTCAAAGTCACTGATCATCATCAGAATAGAACTGAACTCAACTGGCACTTGGATGTCAAAATTAAAGACATTTAAAGCATCTAGTTTGGCAAAAATGTAGGGAAGTAGATGCTCTCATGCACTGTAGTGGGAGTATGAATTGGCATTTTGACAAGGACTATACAAATTTTTGGAAAATGTTATTTGGCCATATAATTAAAAATTCAAGTCCTCATACCCTGCAATCCATTAGAAGAGACTATATTACATTTTCCAGTGATGAGTGAAAATGGATCATCAGAGATCAGGAAAATATGCACAGTTGTAAAACAGAGATTTATTTTTGTGCACATCTGATTTGTGATTATTGAAGTGTTTGCAGCATCTGTTTTACCCATGTTTTTATGAGAATATATTCCTGCAACACTTACGCACTTAAATTTAAGAAGTCGCTTCATTTTATTACTGTTTTGTAGTAACGTAGTTCCACAAATACAACATTTGTTTTACAAAACATAAAATGATTTCATCATCACACTCTGCTCTTTCCCGGGCTACTAGCTTTAGAGGAGGTAAGCAACACCTTCTTAACAATCATTTAATTGCAGCTTGGGAAGAATTACAAAATTACAGAATTAGACAAGCATGACATTTCTTTAAGCCCTGGTTTACCCATTTCACTAGGTTATCACCTATATTCTTTTGAGATTAAAAAAATCAGATTAAATTCTAATTTTCATATTAAAATTGTTTCATATTAAAATTGTAGAAATAAAATTTTCTACAGCCAATCCATATTCAAATAATCTTCTGCTTAAGAAGGTGTCTCCGTGGCCCATTTCCTCTTCCATAGAGTTGCCCTTCTAAGAGAACTTGGGCCTCAACAATCATATTTCTATTAAAATGGGACCGTGTCCAACCTATTTCTATAGCTAATTGGATCTTGATGTTCAGGTGACCCAAGGTATATTAATCAAAATGTCTCTCTTCAGTATCTGGGAGTAAGATTGAGACACTAAAGAGTCTGGACTCGTTGCTTGAACAGGAAACAGAAACAAGAGAGTTAGACGTATTCAGAAGGAGTTCAAATTATTCTGCAGAGAGGAAAAAATAAAAGCAGACACACAGAGAGAAGTTGAGAAGGAGACAAGGTACAGCTGCCTACTCCCCTAATTCCATAATGGCTTATTCCATAACGGTTCATAGTCGTTTTCTTTGTTTGGAAATAATCACTATCAGTAATAACATTTACTGAGCATGTACTGTTTGCCAGAAACTATTCTAACCACTTTACATATGATATACTGTCTCTTTCAATCTCTATAGCAGCCAGATGACTAAGGACTCTTACAACCCTATAAATGGAGGCAGAGTTTATCTACCTGTGGCCTTAGAACTAGTAATGCAGATAGCAACAATCTGAACCCAGGCCGAATGACTCCAGAGCCTAGATTTGCTCTCTCCTTATCTCTCTTAATTAGCTTTTCTTTTAATTTTGCTCCCTGCTACCGCAAGTCCTTATTTTGAAAATTCCCTCTTTGTCCCTAATATTTTCTTTGGCGTCACTCCCACCCACCGAGGATAAAATCCGCATCATGTTTTGCTTTGAGTTGTCAGATTCTTTTAGTCTCCTTCAATCTAAAATAGACCCCGATGTTTTATTTTGTTTTGTTTGTTTGTTGGTTTTCTGTCCCATGCCTGTTCACAGTTATCTACTGTTGCATAACAAACTACCCTAAAAGCTTAGCAACTTAATGCCATTAAAAAACAACCATTTAATTTTGGTCATAGATACTGTAAATATAAAAAAATGGACAGGGCACAGTGGAGATGGCTTGTCTTTGCTCCACGATGCTGGTGCTTCAGCACCTGAGTAGCTGGAGGCTGGAATGCCCTGGAGTGTTCTTCATTGACATGCCTAGGGCTTGGGCTTGAATGATTCTAGGATTGGATTCAGCTGTGACTATCACTCGGAACACTCACACACGGCTTTTCCATGTGGCTTAGGCTTCCTTACAACATGGTGGCTGCAGGGTAGTTAGACATCTTACATAACTGCTCATGGCTTCATGACCACATATTCCAACACTACATTTAGAAGCTGCAAGGCCTTTAATAACCTAGCCTCAGAGTCACATGCTGTCACTTCAGCTCTACTGTGTTGATCAAAACAGTCACAGAGGAGGGAACCCAGACATCCCCCTCCCCCATATATTATTGGGAATAGTGTCAAGGAATTTACATCCATGGCTTAAAACTACCACAATATCCTTGATATTTTTGAAGCATCCAGGTCAGTTAAACAGATTTTGAACGGTCATGTCATATTGTTGCCTTCTACAAGTTATCCTGTTGACTTTCCAATTTTTATTTTCTAACTCTAGTTTGAAGTGGATTTCTGTTAAAACTTAAAGAGCTCTAAACAATAATGAAGAATATTTCAAATGTTTTAATTGTGCTGAACTCTAAGTATATTGTGCAGTAACAAGCAGGCACGTCTTCAACAAAACTGCTGTTTATTGTTGAAGAAAAAGGCTATGACCTTCACTTTCTCTGGCTCACATCACCGAATCAAAAAACAACATGTAATGCCTATAACTCAGAAGGAATATTGAATCATAACATCTTCTGGCATGCATCACAGCATATTGCAGGGAGAAAAAGAAGACTGGTGTGCCATTTTTTTAATTGTTATTTTACTTTGAGTTTTGGTATATACATGCCGAATGTGCAGGTTTATTACATAGGAATATATGTGCCATGGTGGTTTGCTGTACCTATCAACCCATCGTCTAGGTTTTAAGCCACACATGCATTAGTTATTTGTCCTAATGCTCTCCATCCCTTTTCTCCCCACTCCCCAAAAGTCCCTAGTGTATGATGTTCCTCCCTGTGTCCATGTGTTCTCACTGTTCGGCTCCCACTTATGAGTGAGAACATGCGGTGTTTGGTTTTCTGATCCTGTGTGAGTTTGCTGAGGATGATGGTTTCCAGCTTCATCCATGTCCCTGCAAAGGGCATGAACTCATTCTTTTTATGGCTGCATAGTATTCCATGGTGTATATGTGCCACATTTTCTTTATCCAGTCTATCATTGATGGGCATTTGGGTTGGTTCCAAGTCTTTGCTATTGTAAATAGTACTGCCATAAACATACGTGTGTGGTGTGCCATTCTTTTAACAAAAATTCTAAGGATATGAAATTCTCAACCAAGAAAATTTTTAAAATAAGGTTTATTGATATATTATATAAATGCATAATTTATATATGGTAAAATTTACCCCTTTATGGTATGAAATTCTGTGAGTTTTGACAAAATGTACTGTATAGTCAGTCATGGAAACACCACCACAATTAAGACATAGAACAATTCCATTTACTTCAAATGATTCCCTACTGTGCCTTCATAGTCAATTCCCTTTACCCACTCTTAGCCTCTGGCAACTACTGATCTCATTTTTAACATTGTAGTCTAAAATTTTCCAGAAGGCCATATCTATGGAATCAAACTGTATGCAGCTGTTTGGGTTTGGCATCTTTCACTTACCACAGTACATTTGAGATTCATTCATGTTGTTGCATTTATTCATAACTCATTCTCTTTTATTGCTTAGTTGTATTCCACTGTATGAAGGTACACAATTTTTTCTTCCATTCTCCCACCAAGGGAAATTTGGGTTGATTTTAACACAGAACTTTTTTTTATATATAAAATAGCAGACTTGGGTAAAAATGAATCTTGTTATAGAGTCTTTAATTTCTTAGCTCTTCACATTTTCAGGTCATCCTGAGTTTCTTATTAATAAAATTTAGAAATTATCAGTCTGAAAGGAATGATGAAAGTTTTGAGGCAGCACTGGTCTTTTCCTAATCAATCTTTTTCCCACTGAATTCTTTTCAGTTTGATGCAATTGCTCCTGTTTCTTAACAAGCACGATTATGGAAAGTGTTAAAAGAGGATTATGATCTGATTGGTGACAGCTGGCTTCATAACAATTGGATGAACAAAGGATTATCTAAGTGTACAACTTTAAAAAATAGGGCCAGGAGCTGGGTCAGAGGATGAAACAAACACCCTCTTTGGCTGACTTTTAAGCTTTAGGTCCTCAAATGATGCTGTTGCTTGGGTAATCGTGGACTTGCTGCAGGATCAAGAGGGAACAGGCAGTGGGAGGCACTAGAGAGAAAGAACATGATGAATATTTCGGTTTTTTCCATTATCCAGCTCCCTTTCTGCAATAATCAGAGTCATTTCACATGGTGTGCATGATTTCAATAGGTTAGAAACTAATTTTAAATCCATTAAAAATGAGCCCATGTCAGCATTGTCTCCATGACCTCTTGCCTTTAAAACTACTGAGAACAATGCTGCCTCACTGATTTTCTCATGCTATTGTATCATTTGGCATAAAACAGGTGTGCCATAGATGTTTCATTGTCAGCTCAACATAATGTACCTGCACAATTCTCTAATTTCACTGTCAATGGAGCAATCTTTTCTCCTTTGTTAAAAAGCTCTCAAAATCACTGTAAGTAATGCCAATGCATATTGAATTTAAGTCAAATAATACATTTTTGCCTTTCCCACTAACTTTGAATCTTTAAAAAGCAAAATCTGAAAAATTAGAGATGAGCCCTGGTGTGAGTCACTCTGTGCCAAATGTCTCTGGTTTTGTGACGTCAATATTTCTAAAAAGAAGAAAAAAATAGTAGGAAAAATTTTAAAAGTTCTTCATTACGCTTGAAGTCTCAAATCTTTTGTCTTTTATTTATTTTCAGTTCTTTTTTTTTTTTTTACAATAATCTTTTCCTTAAAGGAGCTTCCATTGAAAAACAAAATGAGTATCAATTTGGATTCACATGCGACCATCTGTTTCCTTTCCCACCTAGCTTCCTAATAATGCTACTTTCTTAGTACCTCTCTTGAGCAGTGTCTTGGTGAGGTACATAACTAGATACTTACAGAGTTATTCATAGTTACCTCAGCCAGGATCACAAAATGCACACTTATTTGTCTATGCTGATCAGTTTTTGTGCAATGAATGGGAATGAAAATTGATTCCATTATTTTTGTTATACATATAAGTTAAAGAGTCCAAAAGAGAAAACACAAAAGCATAATGAGGAAATGAAAAAGACAACTTGGGACTTTGGGGGTTCCAAATTGATGTTTCAAAATGTATCTGACAATTGAGGACTCAATTCCTGAGAGGAGGATTTTTTTTTTCTTCTTTTTTTTTTTTAATTTTACTTTAAGTTCTGGGATACATGTGCAGAATGTCCAGATTTGTTACATAGGTATACATATGCCATGGTGGTTTGCTGCACCTATCAACCAGTCTTCTAGGTTTTAAGCCTCTCATGCACTAGGTATTTCTCCTAATGCTATCCTCCCCTTTCCCCTGAGCGCACCGACAGGGCCCGGTGTGTGATGTTCCCCTCCCTGTGTCCATGTGTTCTCATTGTTCAACTCCTACTTATGAGTGAGAACATGTGGTGTTTGGTTTTCTGGTGCTGTGTTAGTTTGCTGAAGATGATGGCTTGAGAGGAGAATGTTTTGAGAGAGAAGAGGCTATTTGAACATTCACATTGTGAGAGAGGTCTTGAGAAGCGTCATCGAGAGTGAGGTAGGTGGGTTTAGGGACCTGATACTTCTGGCAACATTTCTCTGACTACCTTTGTCTTCTTCAACTTAGCAGAAAAAGAGGGACTTTTGGATATGCTGGAGATTGACAGTGGCTTTAATAATGTGTTAATATCATTCAATAAAAATAGTTATCATATACGTGTTATATATTTCCAGGGACTATTTTATGCATTGAGGTTATCATAAGCCAAACAACACAAAATCACTGTCCTCATGGAGCTTACATTTGAGTGGTCAGAGGTAGTTAAATAAGCAAAACTTTAAAACGACATAGGTAATAATATCAGTGGTGAAAATAAAGTAAGGTACTGAGGTGGACAGAAGTTGCTATTTTATTTTATTATTATTTTTTCTTTTTTTCTTTTTTTTATTATACATTAAGTTTTAGGGTACATGTGCACAACGTGCAGGTTAGTTACATATGTATACATGTGCCATGTTGGTGTGCTGCACCTATTAACTCGTCATTTAACATTAGGTATATCTCCTAATGCTATCTCTTCCCCCCTCCTTCCACCCCACAACAGGCCCCAGTGTGTGATGTTCCCCTTTCTGTGTCCATGTGTTCTCATTGTTCAATTCCCACCTATGAGTGAGAACATGCAGTGTTTGGGTTTTTTTCTTTGCGATAGTTTGCTGAGAATGATGGTTTCCAGCTTCATCCATGTCCCTACAAAGGACATGAACTCATCCTTTTTTATGGCTGCATAGTATTCCATGGTGTATATGTGCCACATTTTCTTAATCCAGTCTATCATTGTTGGACATTTGGGTTGGTTCCAAGTCTTTGCTACTGTGAATAGTGCCAGAATAAACATGCGTGTGCGTGTGTCTTTATAGCAGCATGATTTATAATCCTTTGGGTGTATACCCAGAAATGGGATTGCTGTGTCAAATGGTATTTCTAGTTCTAGATCCCTGAGGAATCGCCACACTGACTTCCACAATGGTTGAACTAGTTTACAGTCCCACCAACAGTGTAAAAGTGTTCCTATTTCTCCACATCCTCTCCAGCATCTGTTGTTTCCTGAGTTTTTAATGAGCGCCATTCTTTTTAAATAGGGACATGAGGGTGGGTCTCTCTGATGAGATGACTTTTAAGCAGAGGCTTAAAGGAAATGAGGAAGCGAGCTTTGTAGCTATCTTTGGAGAGACAGCGTTTGCTGCAGATGAAAGAGTTTGGGGCAGAGGCTCTGAGGCTGGAAAGAGCATCATGTGTTTGAACAGCTGCAAGGAGACTCTGAGGCTGAGCTTGGTTAGGAAGAGCAAGAGTGGTGGAGGTTGAGACCAGAGCATAGCAGGGACATTTTGTTGTGACATTTAAACTCTACATTATTTCCAACTCACCATTTGACCTCAAGTCAATCTGACAATTGTGCATTAACTGAAGAGCTATTTTGTGATGAAGTTGCTTCATGTTCACAGTTTGACTGCTGAGTTTCAGCCTCAGATCACAATGTAAGACATTAAATCTTTACTCTTACCTATAAAATTTCAATTGAAGAACAATATACATATTGAAAAGTGCAAAACTTCTATGTGTGAAGCTCGGTGAATGTTCACAAACTGAACACATCCATATAGCCAATATCCAGATCAAGAAATAGAACATTCTTCTACCTCTCCAGGGTAACCACTGTTCTCACTTCCACTATTTGTATTACATTTACCTCTTTTAGAACTCTATATAAATGGAATAAAATGTGTATTCTTTAGCATCTGACTTCTTTTGCTCATTATATTTATAAGGTCCCTCTATGTTATTGCACATAGTTAAATTTTGCTCTTTCTCTTTGCCATGTGCGAATTATGTTGTAAATACACCATAGTTTATTTATTCATTCTGATATTGGTGGGCATTAGTAATTTTTGGTTTTAGCTATTACAAATATTGTTGCAATGAACATCCTTGTCCATATTTTTTTATGAACATATTTGTACATTTTTGTGGGCATTTAATTGGGAGTCAAATTTGTGGCTTAAAGGATATGCATATGTTTACCTTTAGTAGATTATGCTGAACAGTTTTCTGAAGTTATTTACCAATTTTTTCTCCTATTAGCAGTGTGGGAGAATTTCTATTATTCCATCTGAGACAACTGATATTGTTGTGTGTCCTTTTCATTTTAGCCATTCTATGTAGAGGTGTATGATTGTAATTTTATTGTTTTCTTTTTCTTTTCTGTTTTTTTTTTTGTTGTTGTTGTTTTTTGAGACATAGTCTTGCTCTGTTGCCCAGGCTGGAGTGCAGTGGTGTGATCTCGGGTCACTGCAACCTCTGCCTCCCAGGTTCAAGTGATTCTCCGGCCTCAGCCTCCCGGGTACCTGGGACTACAGGAGCGTGTCATCACACCCAGCTAATTTTTAGTAGAGATGGGCTTTCACCATGTTGGCCAGCCTGGTTTCGAATCCCTGACCTCAAGTGATCCATCCGCCTCAGCCTCCCAAAGTGCTGGGATTACAGGCATGAGCCACAAGGCCTGGCCTCCTTTGATGATTAATAAAGTTTGTCACCTCATATTTTTGCTGGCAACTCAGTGTTTATTTCTGAAAAATAGTTTATCAGTAACTTCAAAAGTGGTTGTGAGAATTATAAATGGGAATAATAACAACACAGGGTGGGACAGGACTGCATGAAAGTGTCCATGTGAAAATACTTAATATGATGCAAAGCAGAGAATAAAAGCTAAATTAAAATTATGTATTATTGTTCTCATTTTATGAGATAAACAAAGAATAAGTGCAAAATATGATGGAAACTTTGGCACTAAATATTCCACTTGAAGAAATCCAGAAGCAGTGATGGGTGAAAACAAAGAAAAGATGAATCACTTTGATAGAACAAATAGGAACAAAAATGGCACTGGAACAGAAATAAATGAATCAAAATAACTTCAGAGGCTGCACCCTTTTTATTTCAAATTATAAATTCAGTGTTGAACATCAAGTAAGAGTCAAAATAATGACATTAAATAAAGCTTCATCTTTAACAGCTTCTATGCACTTTAGTTTTCATTATTGACATATCTTATTGAACTAGATATTTTCATCTTCGGCCTGTGAATTCATACTATTTGAATATAAGTAAAATGCATTTTGTTACATTCAGTACAATTCATCTGTGGCTTATTTTTACAATTTATCATCATTAAGTATCTGTTGAGTCATTAAGTGGAGTCTGGCCCGAATTAGGCCAACCCAATGCATAGGTAGAAGAAACAGGAATCAGCATGGTGGAATGCTAATACCAAAACTTTGTATCTGATCACAACATTAAAGGACAAGGAGAATTTAATGGAGTCAAAGGCAAAACAGATGTATCAAGCCACTAAAATAATAGCAATAAAAGAACAGACACAATATTGCACATGTTAGGTGCAAGGAATGATGCAGTCTAGAAATACAGCTGTGTAATAGGTAAGTGGAGGGATGAAGCCTGCAAAGGTATAAGGGAGCAAGATTATGAGGGATCTTGACTTCATGCTGAATTTGTTCTGTAGCCTTTAGGGACTTGTGAAATGATTCTGAATTGAGAAATGAGGAATGACACGTACGTATTCTGGTAAGGTTACTTTGGGAATCTTGCACATAATAGATGAAGCGGCCCTTGGGTTAGGAATGACAAAGTTTTAAAGACTGCCAGAGAAGAGTGGGTATTTTATGCATAGATTTTTTTATGTATACACAGATTCTCTTTCTTGGCATCTCCACTCCAACCTAATCTAAATGAGGAATCATCAGCACCATATTAAGAGAGTAATTAAATGAAAGCATAATAATTAACATATATCCATATTTTTAATGCCCTTAAAATAGAAAAAAGCAATCTTCCAAATAATATATACATTTAATGGGTCTCCTTACACTATTCTTTTGTCAACTCTTTGTATTACTATAATTTATTCATTCAAAAAATATATATATTTTTAAATCTCTTACTATGTTTTAGGCACAGTTCTAGCACTGGAATGTAGCAGTATACACAACAGACTGAAAAACCTCAAGAAATTTAGTGATAATCCAAAAAATAACTTTCCCCCCCAAAATTCACAGCAACTTCATTATGTATTTACTTTCTCCTTCCCTTTGTCAAGGACAACTACAGCTAAACATACCCATTATTGTAATATACAACCTGCATTAGGCTTGGCAACTACCATAGGCCAAGAGACACCTGTCTCATAGAGATAAGTGGCCATTATGATTTAGCATAACTCTGCTAACTGTAAAATGCTAAATAAACATTAATGTGTCTCTGTAATTCAGTAAGTGAAGCCTATATTTTATGGATAGAATTTAATTCATGTTCAAAACTGCTTTAATTTTTCACATCATGAGAGCTTTTGACATTGCACAGTTCATTTTCCCAAAAAGGACAGTGAGTCCTTAAAATAATTATTTAACTAACCTCTGAGTGAACTGGCTCTGCTGTCACTGCTAAAATTTGGATGTACTCATTGTATTAATAGGTTTTGGCTCATTTCTGCTTCTTCCATCTTTGAAGACTAGATCTTTTTCTCAGTGGGCTACATTGTGAAAAGATAAAAGGCATTTTTAAAAATAAATCCCACTGTTACTTCTATTATTTCCTCTTAGAATTTCATTCTGGAATCTAACATAGTTAAATCATAAAATAGATGGCATTGAAGATGCTTCATCATTGTGAGAAATTCCCTTATATAATGTTTAGCTGGCTCACACTGTTAAAACTGTCTGATATTTTATCTCAGTCCCAGAAAAGTTCCCAGGATTAGAAGCAAATACAGTAGAGGCTTTTCTTCAACTGATCATTAAAATTCAAAATGTTTACTACTAACGTGTTTGCAAATTTGTATTTGAAAATCATATTTGGACATGTTTTGATCTTATTTGAACTATGACCTCTGTGTATTATAAATCTTGCTTTGAAAACCCATTGTTATTGTTACATATTTTCTGCTGCTTTGATAAATGTAATTCCTCACTTCAATAAGGCAAATTCCTGCCAGAATATCAAGATTCACAAGTTGCCCAAAACACTATAATTTCACCGAAATAAAGCAAAACGTTTCAGAATAGCCATCTGGAACAAATCCAGAATTTAAGAAATATTCTTAACTTGGATGAGCAAAATTTCTGTGCAATAGGGTTCTGTTCCATTGTATTTATAGGTTTTACAGATGCCTTCACATATGTTCTTTTCCTCTGAGAAAACATGAAGAAAGCTAAATATCTATAGAAATTCCTGAGAAAGTATGTTTTAAGGAAAACTGTCTATGTGGAGAGAAAAAAAATAAAAATAAAATGAACAGATTTTTGTTTTTCTCAACACTGACTAGTTTCCTTGAAAAGGTTCCAGTAGGGGAAATCATAAAATAAAATTACAAATAAGGTAGCTTGCTAAAATTATTATGCATGAAAAACTTCCTCTACAGTGTGTTCCAGATGAAAGGAATTTATATCCATATTTCAGTGTTAGTCATATCTTCACTACATAATTCGTCCCGTTCCATTATGTATTCCACTACCTTCCCATGAGATCCTGAATCTTTTTATACACCAGAACTCCAAGATTTTATTTGCAGTATTGGCTTAATTTTTTTAAACATATGAATAAGATGTTTTGTATGCATTTTTATTTTTAACACCACGCTGAGTATATTCCAGGCACACCATGTCTATATGAGAAGGTTACATAAAAAAAAAAAAAAAATCACATGGTCATGCTTAAAGAAATGAAATGCAGAGTTTACTTCTCACTCTACTGAAGGTCAAAGTTTATTTCTCACTTTACTGTAGTTCAAAGTTTAAACTTCTCACTCTGCTGATGTTCTAAATTTATTTCTCACTTTACTGAACACTGCAAGATATAAACAAATCTCTTTAAAAATAAACCACCAAGAGTGTATTGGAGATGAGTGTCCACTGTGTTATTTCTTTGAGTGAAAATCAATCATGTGACTAGAGCTACACGGACTTTAAAAACAAGCTGATTGAACGTGGCGTTTAAAATATCTGAAAAATATAAAGGCATGCATATTTTAACCTTGGCTTTGGATGTTAAGAGTGAGCCCAAATCATCCTAATTGTGGTTGACTGAAGCTATCAGGATGGTATTCCACAGTTTACGACTCCTGCCAGGCCACAGTATTTCCAGGCTCCAAGGTCAGCAATCATCCCATACTTGTTCCCACAGCACCCGTCATTGGAGGAGGGTGTAGAGAGACTTATGCCCCTTTTTTACTTCTGAGAGCTAAAACATTGCCTGTGCAACTGCATCACATGAGACAGACCTTCAGAGTCGCTGTTTCCCCGTATGGAAACCAAGGAAAGAAAGCCATCAAATAATTCTGTAACTAAAGAGAACAAATTTAAAGAAAATAATTTCCTTCCACTGGGATATAAAATTTTATAAGAAATAATAAGATTTAAGTAGAAAAATATTTTCTATTTTTAACTGGCTACATACACAGGAAAATTCAGTGAATAGATTGCAGACACATTATTTTAGAAGTTTTAAAGAGCATAGCTCAAAAATATATTTGTGAATTCTTTTCAAAATTCTTTTATTTCTCATAGAAAACTTTATATGCTACTTGATGTTTATTTTATACTGCTTTCTTCTTATTTTCTAAGGATGTGAACTCTTTTAATAAAAATGAAGGACAAGTAAATTTGTCATTCTTATATGTTAAACTTACATGTTAAACTTTAAATATGAAAAAAATTTCCTTTATTTACAGTAAGATAAGTTAATGTTTTTAGCATGTCTACTAAGTGCTAGGCACTGGGTTGTAGAAATTCATATCAAAATTTTTTTCATTAGAGTGAGGAAATGGATGAGAAAGTATATAAATAATAAGAGGTAGGATGTGGTTATTGCAAATAGCTGGCATAGACAATACATAAAATGAAAATTTAAAGGAGATAAATTACTTGAGGTTAGGCACGCAGGGAGGGTTTTATGGGAAAGTAAAGAATGAAATAATATTCTAAAGTGGAAAAACATTCATTCATTCCACAAACTTCCTAAAAGTACCTTATGTACGCAAGGAAATTCTCAATCTTCTGTGGGAACAATAGTAAACACGTATGGCTGTGGCCTGAAGACACTTAGAGTTTGGTAGGTTCATCAGTTGTTTATTGCCAGACAATGCTGCATTATGATAATCATAAAACCTTGGTGGCGTACAACTAGAAACATTTATTTAGTTCACAAGTTCATGGTTTTGATGATCTTGGCTGGACTCACTTGCTCCCACCTGGGCTTGTTCCTGTGTCTGAGGTCAGCTATGGGTTGCTAAGGTTGCTCTGTGGGTCTTGGTGGGGTCTGCTTATATGGATTGGGGCAGAGGGCAGAAGGGAGCTGGCAGTTGCCAGACGCCCTGGGTTGACAAAACTTTGGCATATTTCATCTGTCAGCAGGAATTTTTCTACTTATGTCACTTTGACTAACATCCCATTGGTCAAATCAAGTGACACGGTCATGTCCAGTGTCAGAATAAGAAGATACAGCAAGATTAACAAGGCAAAGAGCATGGGTACTGAAGGGGGCAAAGCACTGGGGCCTTTGATGAAATCTCTCTACCAAAGCGACGGAAATGCGAACTACAAGCTTTGTTTGCTTAAGGAAGGGATACATTCACTTGGGATTTAAGAGTAGAATCAGGATAAATTCAATCTGTGGTGGGTTTGTGAAAAAATTTTCAAAGTAAATATAATTTGAGTAGGATTTTGAAGAAAGGATTCGATGTGAGAAAATTTCTATAGATTTAGTGGAGCAAAGACACAGAAAGCAGGTCAGAAAGCAGTCAGCCAAGCCAGGTGACAAAAGAGACACCAATTTGACTCCAGCCTTAGGTTAGGGTAGTGAAAAATCTTGAGAACAAGATTTCCAACACAGACTCAAGTGAGAGTTTAATTTTTTTGGAATGCTTAGCTAAGGAGTCTGGATTTTATTTGTAGGCAACAGGAGTCTTAAAAATTTGCAAACAGAGGTATGCCTTTTCTCAGGATAGCTGATATCCAAAGGGGAACTTGTGTTCAGCTATATAAATTTGCTACTACTTATGCTCAAAGTATTTATTAGCCCTAACCAGAGCATCCCCACTGCATGGAATTTCTTTAATAATGATATAAGCTGAGGTGGAAAGAGTTAAGATGTTAATGGACACTGATGCATGCAATTTTGAAAATGACTTCTGGAGTAAGTTGTGGCTCATTCTTGTTTCATACACTGATTTTGCAAAGTCTTGAAATGTTTTTAGGGCAAATAGAAAAAATTAAGACTACTCCAGATAAATAGGAATTATGGTTCCTAGTTAAAAAGTAGGAACTGGAACAAAATACAAAGGAATTTTAGAATAAGATATACTTTCTTACGTGATATACAATCTAATGGGAAGAGAAAGCATAGTGTTAAAATATGTTACAACAATTTTATGTGACAGAGGTGCTTGAAAGAGTTTTGGGATCACTAATAAGAGAGGTCTTATGGGATTAAATTTTTAGTGAACTACATAGTAATTTCATTTATACTTATTCTAGGACAGCCTAGGACAGAACTGTTTGAATTATAGAGTAGATGCCATCGGTACCCTGTCTACAACCTTCAGATCTTATCGCTTCTGTGTCCACTGGCCTACTTTCAGCTGCAGGTATCTGCATCGCTTTGCTGGAGAATGTTATCCAAAGCTGCTGATGTCCTTTCTGCTTCACTGCCCATGTACATGGAGGTCTGAAAATGACAAGGAAATAATACCCACAGAGAGAATCCTCAATCTATGATTGAAGGAATTGGCATGTAATAAATGCCTTGCTCCTCAATTGGGGTAACTCTTGGGTGTGTGTTCTACACTGTCTCTTAGAGTTCCCCAGCAAGATTGATTTTTAGTAAACTCACAATGGTTACTTGCCGGATAGCACACCATTTATTGACTCCCTTCTCCTCCATGTCTCACTTCCCCACTTCCGTATGGGTACCTCCTGGATCACCTCCCAGATAAGCTTCTTGCAGCCAAATGCTTATATTGGAGTCTGCTAATGCAGGAACCCAAATGAAGACATATGGTATACATGTAATTGATTTTGTGTTAGCCAGTCATGTCATGTTTGACTAACACTGAAAATGATGCATGTGTATATACAGAAGTGATGGGAATGACTAGAGAACTACTGAAACATAAAAGCTCTCCTGAGCCACACTTGTACCAGTTTTCTCTCTTGAGATGCTTAAGGCTCCACTTTACCTTCACCAACAAATTAGCCTAACATTATCTTTTATGGTCAATGATATTCCATTCTAGCTCATTCTAATACAATTAGAGCCTACTGAAAGTGATTTTTTAAATGTAGAGAGATTTATTTGGAAAAAATACAATTCCATTTACATTACTTTTGTTGTCTAGGCAGTACAAAACTTAAGATGGGACATGATAACCAGAGATGTGTTCCATAATTGGTGATGAGAGACAGCCACTAGCATAAGTGAAAGACCATTTTCACTTGGTCTTTCACTTAGGACTCATTTTGTAGTCCCTCTCTTTCAGCCACGAAATTTCCAGAAAGAATCACAAATTTGATTTTATAAGAATGATCTCAAGGGACGCTTAGTAACACCTATTTTTATATTTTTTTTGTGAAGTAACAATAATTCCCTCATCTCATGTTAAAATCAGGAGAAGTAAAGGCAGGAGCTACTACAGGGTCATATATGAGAAGCTTATTCATTGGTCGTAGTTAATTATCTTCTCGATTCCTAATTACGTAACTGGAAGAAAATAGCCTTTTAGTCCAAGAATCAAAGCTGCTGTGGTTTTTCTCAAAATGAAAGCCCTTATTAAGACAAAATACAATGAATTAAAAATTTTCCCAATTTTAACCCCATAAAATTATATTCCCAAATTGTGTTTATTTACCAAGTCAATTCACACTTTCCAAGTCAGTTTGTTTCTAGCTCCTTGCAGCTTCCTTATCACAAGCACATACAAGAGTAATGAGTAATGTACAGACCTGGAAAATGGACCGCCCATTAAAACAACCAGGATAAATAAGAAAGTATGACCCTGTCCTCAAAGGCAGGACTGAAGAGATGACACATTAAAAAGTACAACGACTTCCTTTCTATCCCTGGAACATCAAGAGTACTTCTGTCAAAAATTGATCTGGTATCCTCCTTAGCTGTAAAATATAATGCCTACATTAAATCAAGATATGAAAAAAACAATTTTAAAACATTAGTAATTCTTATGCAGCATAACCTAATTAAACAAATTACTTTTAGAAGTGAGCAGTGTCTGTCAGATGTCCAATTTTTAAAGTTGCTATTACTAGTTCCATTTCATAGATAATGAAATTGAGAAGTTACGAAACTCTCCCGAAGCTTGTATTTCTGGATCTAGAAACGATGTCATTAACCATCATATGATAGCTAAAAAGAAACAGGTCCAGGAAGAATGTAAGATACCATCTGTTAATTTGAAAAGGAGATGAAGAGATTGGGAACATGAGGTACTGCCCCGCTGGGCTACAGTAACTCCTTTGAACAGAGAATAAGCCAGTCTTAATTTCATTAGATTAGCTTCAGTTATTCGTAATTTATGGTACACTGTTAAATTTATGAAAAGAATAAAAATTCAAAACAGACATTGCCTTTGAAAATACATGAAGTATTTTTTTTCATGTCATTTGTTATGTCTTTGTCCTATGGCCAATTATATATATTTAGGGAGAAACAAACAAGTGAGGGAAATCTCATTCCAGAAACTTTCTACTCAGTTACTTTTCAACCTTTCATTATGTAAGGTCCATCTTGAAAGCAAAACATCATCTGATCATATGAGAGTTTTCACGTTAATGAAAATGACTGTGATAATATCTAACTAATCATCAAAAGGGGCACTAGTTCTTACTTTTACCCAGTCCCATTATTTTTCTTTTTCCATTGTTTGTTTGGCTATATCTCGTAGATTTCATGAAAGATAAATGGCTGAGATAAAAATGTAAGCCATCAACACATTGTACATATCTTTTAGTGATGTTACTTACTTTCTGTAAGGAGCAACATACCATAGTCAAGTTGTGCCAAATCTACCGATTAAATAATGTCAAAATCTTAATAAACCCTGGTAACTTTGTCTAGTAGTAAATACACACTCATCAAAGAATGAAAAATGTTAAAGTCATTAAAATAGGAACAATTTCATAGAACTTCTCTCCTGGTACCCTTGGTGACAGGGAGACCAGTTGGTCACAAAGATAAGGTATTCACCTAAGATTAAGCCGTAAAATCCACAAATAATTGAAGTCCAACAAACCAGACACTGGGACTGAACCTATTAGTGGTACTTGACATATAACATGGGTCTTAGATTGTGTTCTCCAGAAGCAAACCGTGAGACCAGGGTACATGTGCAAATGATTTATTAAGTGGGTGTTCCCAGAAGAAACTGGTTAGGAAGAGGCAGAAAGAGAGTAGGGAAGGGGAGGAAGTTAAGCAAAGGTATAATTTCAAGTGAAGTGCCAACCTTCACTTGAAGGTACCCTGATCCCAAGGGTACCTCTAAAGCTTAAGTTGTATGGTGGAGTTGGCCCCGCTTCAAGACAAAGGAAGCGGAGTTGTTTTGTTTGTTTGTTTGTTTGTTTTTACTCCAGTGGCAGTCAGTTATTGGCTACAGATTGCCTCTAGGGAGACGTGAAAACCTAAGTATTTCTGACACCTTAAGAACCTGATGAAATAGCCTTATGGTGGTCCTTTCAAGAAGGTTATAGGTGTGAGTTGTTAGGAGTGAAGCACATAAAAGCAGAGAAGTAGGGACATAAAACTTGTAAAGGTTAGCCAAAGGCTTCTGGAGTTGGGGACAGCAACAGCACCTACTACATATACACGGGGTCATGATAGCACTAGTCATAATGCCAATTAATATTTGAGGTTAGTTTTGCTACATTAGCCAGCTGTCTTGGTAAAATAGAAAACCCAGTGTGGCCGTCTTATTGCAAAAAGGGCTGAATTTGCCCCACGCTGTGAGCCAGCCATAGTTTGATGATCTCTGATCAAGATTAATGGTAAAAAATAAACTTGCTACACAATGGGTACCACTGTTAACACTGAATTCCAGGATTTGCTGCCTAAGCTAAACAAGGCAAATCTACCGTGTGACCCCATTGATGAAGTGTTGCCCATAGCACCAAAAATAGAAATTCAATCCATAAAAGTCAAAGTAATT
Organism: Homo sapiens; assembly: GCF_000001405.40. NCBI lineage: Eukaryota > Metazoa > Chordata > Mammalia > Primates > Hominidae > Homo > Homo sapiens. Next base: position 8,069,068 of record NC_000020.11, read on the forward strand.
CTTTTTTTCTTTTTAAAGTTTTCTGTTCCCATTAACTCAGCATTTCCCTGCACTTTCAACAAGACAATTTGCAGAAGAAAGAAAACCTCTAAACTAAAAAGGGAAACAGAATTAAATACGCATGTTTCTACTGTAGGACTTCTTACTAGTATTAACGCACATTGTAAATCCCCAAGAAGGGTGATACTAAATACAAAATTGTATTATCCCCAAGAAGGGTGATACTAAATACAAAAAAGTCAGAGTAGAAAGAAATTTTAAGTTCTGACAATTTTTTAAAAACCCTAGATCAAACACCATTCTAAATGGAGAAACATTTAAAATATTATTTTCAAAATTAATTCTGAGGACTTCTTCTATCATTACTTTTACTTATTGTATTAGAAGTCTTGGCCAGTATAATAAGAGAAGAGAAAGAAATGAGAAACATAAGAATTTGAAGCAGGAATTACAGTACATCTCTCATTAGTTGCACGGGATGGTTGTTGACATGGAAAGCATTGTGAACTCACAGACAGATTATTAGATTTAATAGAATTTATTAAGTTGGTTAGTTATGAGATTAATAATAAAAAGTCATTTATATATTTTTATATTAATAATAGTGCAAACTATTAGACAACATGAAGAAAAATATACCACATCTTATAAGAGAATAAATCTAATAGAAGATATGCATGACCTCAATGGAGAAATTATAAAGTTATATTCATAGATATTAAAGAAGACATAAATAAATGAAGATTTTCAAGATTAAGAAGAGTAATATTATAAGTATTCTATTTTTTCCCCAATTCACTTACAGAGTCCATGCATTTCCAATCAACATACCAACAGAATTCTACTTGGAAATTGACAAGATAATGGTACAATTTTAACAGGGAAATATAATAGGCCAGGAATAGTCAGAATCCTTTTGAAGAAGTAAGCAAAAAGAGAAGATGAGCTGTATCAGGAATCCAGACATATTATTTAAAAAATGGAATTTAGGACAGGAAGGTAATGGGATAGTGGGATAAATATTAATCAAAGGAATTGACAGAAGCACAGTTCCCAGTAAATAATGAACTTTGGTTCATAGCAGAAGAGAAATGGATAGACTGTTCAATAATACTCACAGAACTACAGAAAGTGGTTAGCAATTTGGAAAACAATGCAGTTGGATTTTATATTCCACATCATATTAAAAAATAAACTCCTGTCAAATTAAAGTCTTAAAGGTTTTTAAAATTTAGAAAATATAGATACATATCTAGAATCAGGAAAAGAAAACCAAGAAAAATTATGAATATAGGATTCAGGATGATGGTTATCTACAGCGATAAGTGGTAAGAATGGGACGGGAAGGAACCATATTTACGTAGGTTGTTATCAAAATTTTAGCTTTTTTGTTGGACAGTTGGCTGATGAGTGTATATTATTTAAGATAATAAATTAAATAACAAAATAAAACCACAAAAGCATGTTATATATGAGAGTATCACAAACTCAGGGTTGTAATTAATCCGTTTATGTAAAACTAAGGTCCTAATTCATAAACATACTATTGTTTTTAACATATTAATGCTCCACAATTCAGTATACATGAGAAAAGAAACATCATAACATAATGGCTTTTAGCACGGACATTGGGGTTAGGGACACATGGGTTGACATCCTGATTTTGCTCTTTAAAGCTAACTGGCTCTGCAAAGTTTGTTAATAATTTTAAAGCCTCAATTTCTTCATCTGTAAAAAAAAAATAAACAATACCTTACTTGGCTTGGTTTTGAGGTTTTAAAACAAGAACATAAAATCATTGTTGCCAGTGATTCCCAATATTTCACAAAAGCTTTTCAAATAGAAGAGGAGAGTCTGCATAGGCATCTCTGGGTAGAAGTAAAAGGAATCTTCCACAAGCATAAGCTATCTTTAGACTCTGTTCTACCTCTCTCAAATTTCATGCTAACTTTGACTATTTTAAAGTTCTCTTTCTAAAATGTTTTAAATCTCTTATCATGGGTGGAAATAGGGAAAAATAAAACTAAGAGAAGACACAGTGATCCTCAGTTTGTGAACTTGTGTGTGCATGTGTGAGAGTGCACGTGCTGTAGCAGGGAGGTCCCAATTTACACTTGGCTCCGGGGGTGAGGGGCCACAAGCTAAAAATGTGAATCATCAGGACAGTGCCGCCTTCTGGAAAGGTGGAAATGTCTTTAGCATATCTAAAGGCAGGTGTGTTCAGTTGGGCTATTGAATCATGCTTTGAAGTTTGCTGGGATTCTAATGAACTCTCAGAGGACCAAAAAAGAAAGTAATCAATTCTCCATGTCTTACTAGAATAGATAAGAAAAGATGTTTTAAATTTTGTAAAAGGTAGGTACATGCAGTTCATCACTTCCATGGTGACAGGGCCTTTGAGGAGCAGGGCTGGCTTCCATGGGTGGAATCATTGGAGGTCCCAGATTAAGAGGTCATGTATTCAATATTCAATATGAATATAAACAGAGTAATAGATCCTTGCTGGCCCAAAATGATCCTAGTCACAGCATGTCTCAGCAGAAAGAATGGAGGAGATCTCAAAAATGGATGCATTTTGCATCAAGGAAAAACAGTAGCAAGAGCCAAGTTAGAGCTTAAGTCACCACAATTCCTACCCACCAGGAGTGTAAGTCTGAAATCCACTTTATGGATTACCAAATTCTTTCAACCAAATTCATCAATGCTGTGATGTGAAGACAGCTTGAAGTCACAGGAATTTCACATTGGATCTCCATGGGAGAAGACTTAAAACAAATTCTAATTTAATTTTAGCAAGAAATTAAAATGATACTCCTTGTACTCACATTTTCATGGAACAATTTATATCTGTTTCTATTATGTTAATATAGGAGAAATAATGTTGAATCAAGTCTTGCCATGTCAGAAGATTGGGCTAAACTGAAGAGAGCTGATACACAGGCAATGTCTTTTTTCCATTTTCATAATCCAATTTGTAAGAATTCAGACTTGCCCAAACAGAGCATTGGGACCAATTTTATATAAAAAGACATAATTTAGAGTAGTAACAAAATCTGTTAAGTACCTAAGAATAAATGTGAAAAAGCTGTGTAAGTCCTTTTGGGGGAAAAATTATTTAAACAAGTTGGTAAAGGAACAAAAGAAAGGCCTGAATAAATGGTGAGGTATATCCTAACCTGGGTGAAAGAATTCAATATAAAAGATGGCATTTCTCTCCATTCTATCCATAATAGGGAATATATTTGACAAAATTTATCAAAGAACTTGACAAACTCATTCTAGAATTAGGGAAGAGAAAAACTACAAGAGTAACCAAGACACCATTCCCTTTTTTTTTGTTTTTTTTTGAGACAGTGTCTCACTCTGTCCCAGGCTAGAGTGCAGTGGCACAATCTCAGCTCACTGCAACCTCTGCCTTCCGAGTTCAAGCGTTCAGGTGACTCTCCCACCTCAGCCTCCCAAGTAGCTGAGACCACAGGCACATGCCACCATACCCAGCTAATTTTTGTAGTTTTTGGTATAGATGGGGTTTCATCATGTTGGCCATGCTGGTCTTGAACTCCTGACTTCAAGTGATACACCCGTTTCAGCCTCCCTGCTGGGATTACAGACATGAGCCATTGCACTGGGCCCCAAAACTATTTTTTAAAAGTAGAAGAAGGAGGGGTAATTTGCCTACCAGTTACCAAGATTCATGATATACCTGTAATAATTAAGAGAATGTATTTTTAAAAGATAAGATAACAATGGTGCTCAAACAGAGAAAGACACCAAAAGCAAAAAAAGAAATAAAATCATGTATGGGGCATTGATACATGAAAGTAAAGAGACTTCAAGTTTGTGGGGGCAGAATGCTGCTGGGATATTTGGTTTTCTGTATGAAACAGGATAACTTGTAATTCATATCATGAAATAAAACAAAACTTGATAAAGATTAGCTTTAAAACAAAGTAAAACTATAAAAGTCTAGCCTAGTATCTTAACTACCTCAGAATACAGAATGATTTTTGAAAAAAGAGATAAAGAAAAAATTAAAACAATAAACAGAGATTATCATAACAAAAAACTGATATATTGAATTGCATCATAATTAAAAGCTCTGTACATACAAGAAACTGCAATAGGCAAGTTCTATGATGTGCCCCTATTATCTCTTTCTCTTGGTATTCGTGACTTTAGATAATCCCCTCTGGAGTAAAACTTGCTTCTAACAAACAGAATACCTCCACATCGAGGTCATGTCATTTCCGTGATTAGATTACAAAAGATTCTGATTACCATCTTGCTAGCACACTTTCTCCCTTGCTTACTTCACTGAAGCAAGTTACCTTGTTGCCTTGCTAACAGCCAGGCAGGAAGTAAGGCCCTCGATTCAGCATTCAATACTACCAAAACCACATAAGTGAACTTGGAAGCTGATCCTTCCTCAGTTGATCCTTTGGTTTAGCCCCAGCCCTGAGTAATACCCTGATTGCAGCCTTGTGAAACACCCTGAAGCAGGGGAGGCCACAGCTAGGCCAAGTCAGATTCCTGACCCACAGGAAATGTCAGATAATAAATGTGTGTAGTTTTAAGCTGCTACACTTGTGATAATTTGCTTCACAGCAGTAGATAACTCCTATAGAGGCCATGAGCAGATAGGTATGAGTCAGAGTGGAACGAGGCATTACAACACATATTACAGTCAAAGTTAAACCTTTGACTTAAGATTACATAAGAAACTTCTACAAGTTATTACAACATAAAACAACTCAATAGAAAAATGGGCAAATGAAATGATCAGGCAATTCATAAAATAGAATCTTGCGTTGACAATAAACATGAAACAATGGTTATCCTCACTAGCATTCAGGGAAATGAAACTTAAAGAACAAATAATATTTCATATCTGTCTAATTAGACAAAATTTTAAACAGTTTGATAAAGTCAAGTGTGTTCTGAATATGTAGAAATGAGAATTGACAGACACTGTTGGTAAAGTGTAAATTGTCCCAACTGTTCTGTGAAGCAAGTTAGCACTATTTTGTAAAAATTAAAAGATGCACAATTATGACCCAGCATTTTCATTTCTAGGTATATGCTTAAGAAGATATGAGCAAGGATATTTATTCTGACTTTTTTTGCAATAGTGAAAAATAGGAAACGACTCAAATGCACATCAATAGTAGAATGATCTAGACATTAGACATGCTTAGCCGTAACATACAGCAATTACAACAAATACATTGGATCTGTAATATTTATATAGATCTCAAAAAAGGACATTGAAAAAAATAAATTAAATAACATAATACATGATATGACATTATTTATGTAATTAAAAAATTAAAAAATAATATGAATTAAATACTGTGACGATATATCATAAGATCTTTATTATTATTATTATTATTCAAAAACCAACCAAATTCATCAGGGTCATCACCTTGGGAAAGAAAAGAAAAGAGTGATCCTGGGGGAAATCCAAATTTTTTTATTTTATTTTTATATCTGTTTTTATCATTTTTATTTTATTCTTTCAAAGGATTATATTTTATCTATATTAATTATATTTATCTATACAAAATATAAGCTTGTTCAAATTTTGGGTGGTGGTACAGAGATGTTTGTTATCCTTGCCTTTTGGGGGAGATATTAATTTTCAAAATAAAATAAATTAAAAACAAAAATATTAAAGATAAAATTATTGTGTGGCAATTATTTCCTCATTGCATGAGTGATGCCCAAGAGTGCCATTGAAAAGAGATTTCCAGAAAATGGCTGAAATACATATATGACAAGGTTTCTGACTGCTGTGAGTGAAAATGTCAATGAAGAAATTTCCTTGCTTGAAAGTCTTATCACGTATCGCCATGATGTAAGACTGGAAAAGTGGTGTATGTGTATTTGCTGTTTCAACACTAATGTAGCCTTCTTTCCACACTAAAGGATTTGGAGATAAATATTCCTCACAATCAGCTCTCTTTAACTCACAACTTTACATATCATTGCTATAATCTGATTGTATGATTTTTCATTTGCCATTGTGTAACAAACTACGTCAAATCTCAGTGGTTTAAAACAACAACTTATTATTTTTCACGGGTGTATGATTCAGCTTAGTGGTTCTGCTGATCTTGGCCAGGCTCATTCATGTATCTGATGTCAACTTTGGGTTTGGCTGGGACTGGATGATTTAGCACGGCTTCAACAGGACCATCTGGATCCAGTCCATATATTTCTCATCCTCCTTCAGGTTAACCCAAACACATTCTTATGGTGATGCCAGGGGTCCGAGAAAGAAAGTAGAAATACCCAAGTGCTTTTTCAAAGCTTGCTTGAGTCAAGCCACTGGTTCAAGGAAAGAATCAGTACAGGGTAGCACTATTACAGTATATAGTTGCCAGGAGGTGTGAAAAAATGGGGACATTAACATAGCCAATCTACCGTAATACTTAAAAACTGTCGGTTTTCCTTGTAGCTCTTGTAATAAGATTTACTAAGTTGGTCAACTTTGGAAACCACCACATTGTTTTTAAATCGGCAACTTTATATTATTTGTGGGCAAATAACACTCCAGGCAGTCCCCAAATTAACATATTTTATTTCCTGATGTGAATAATGGAAGTCCTGCAGGTGAGTTCACTCCCCTCCACAGTTCTAGTCTACTCCAATAGAGACCAGGAATCACAAATATAAGAGACAGCAGTCCTGTCCACTTTGGCCTTACAGCATTGGAGGGTTTTCAGCTGCCAGTTGAGGTTGCCATGTCCTAATTTTGAAGCAACTCTGGATGGTGGGGTAGCACCTTGCTTTGTGCTAGATTCTCCTCAAGGTCAAATTGACCCTCTGAGGGATAGATCTGTGTTCTTTTAGCCCCTTACTTGGATATTTTCCAGGTTCTATTGGGTCCCAGAATGGTAGAGAGACACAATTTGCTGTTGGTAGCCCTTTGATGGAGATTAAGACTGCAGTGGAACAGAACTTCTAGGGGCCACCATACCTTTCACTGATACTCTTCTATGGAAGGGTGTCCTACAGGCAGGTGAGATGCTATCCACACTAGTGAAAGGATCATTGCTGTTTAGACACCTGGCAAGGAGAGACACTAGCTACCATCAAAACCATAGCTGAAAACATCCTTGGGTTGTTAGGACCAATGAGAAGAGACATAAATCCTGGCTATTAGAATTCTCTGTGCCCAGGCCTTTCAGTTCATACACAGTAAAATTCTTTGGCTTGAGGCAGACCTAGTTTTACTATTTAAATAATTCTTACTTCAGAAACACTAGACTCCTCCATGGATTGCTCTGCTAAACTCAAATATTGGATCTGATATTTGGATCAACTAATCTCTGGACTTATAAGTTTATTTCAAGTTATCTGTAGCTCTCTGCTGCTCCTGGATCTTTGTGGCTGTCACTGTGGTTTCAGCCTTACAAATCTCTCATTTAGCAGGAAGCATTTAGATTCCTGCTTCCCAGGAGATCCAGAGTATCTCGTATAAATTAACCTGCCTCCTCTATCTGAGACTAGCTCTGACAATCAAGCAATTACCTGCTCACAGCACCTTCCTTTGACATTACAACTTTGCCTAAATGATAAGTATTTAAAACACACATTAAAAAACCATTTTTATTATCCCAGTCATTGGACAGGCAGAGAAAACCAAGTGACAGGCTCTTTGAGGTTAAGTGTATAATTTTCAGAGGATTGAAAGGCTTCATTCAGGATGAATACAAGTTAGTTCCATTGTAGATGTGGTCCCACATTTCCACACATAAATCTCAGTCCATACTTCATTCACTACAAATACACACATGGCAATTAATAACACACACACACACACACACACACATATAAATACATATGAATAATACAAATTCAGCCTTAATCCTTTCATGAACAGCCCTTTGCTCAGTACCCACCTCGTGCCAGGTACAGTGCCCAGTGCTGAGTTATATCAAAAGAACACGAAGACAAACATGATATGGTTTCAGTTCTTAAGCACCTGTGTGGTTTTAAGGCAGGAACAGCTATAGGAAAAAATGAGCATTTTGGCATCAGTACATTTTTTGTAATTTTGCATAAATATACACACATGTTATTCATCATCAGAACTCAGAGAACATGGAGAAGTTGTTTGCAATTCACAAGGCCAAAGCAGTTTTTAAGCCTTCAGAGATGCTTTAAATAAAAGTTCCAGGACGGAATTTATCAGAAGCAGGCCTATTGCGTACTTGGAAAAGATAACTAAGGTGAGTCAGCTCCTGGCTTTTTCTTTTGATATAACTCAGATGACTGTGATTTTGCCAAAGTTATAAATGGCCAGCAGGCCCTTTGCTGAAACATATTTTCTTTATCCTGAACTGTAAGTTTTATATCTTCTACCCTGGTAAATTTTATGCATGTCAATTAGAAGAGGCATTTTAGAGAAAAGGCATAGATGCATGTTGAACAGTGATACCTGTCTCACTACTCAACATCCTCATTAGTACCTTGTTTAAATTACATTTTTGGAAATTCTCCATATGGATAATTATGAATTGATAAAGGATTCTTTCAAATGATGTCTACATTCAGCACTAGAAAGATTATTAAATAATCTCTCCCACATTGTTGCCATTAATGATTTCACTCTGAGCCAGGTTTGATACTTATAGAAACAACTGAGTGTTAGCATATCATTTCACTTTCAATAATTTGAAACATAGGGTGATACCAATTTCTGAGATTTATACTCAGACCTCAAGTAAAAAAGACAGAAGCAGAGTAAAAGAATGGCAGAGAGAGAGAGAGAGAGAGAGAGAGAGAGAGAGAGAAGGAATGAATTTCCTATCTAGATTCCAGAGATAGAAAAGGGCTTAATTCTTTAACAATATTAGAAGGACATAACTTTTCTTCCCACTCACTGGAGTGACCCTTGAAATGTGGAAAGAATCTATTATCATTATTTTGAAGGCCTAAAGCAGAACCGTATATTTAAAAGCATATGCCTAACACTTTTAGAAAGCATGAGACATTACAAAAGAATGCAAGCCATAAAACATAATTATTTTTCAGCATTTAAGGAATTGATTTTACTCACTTAAGGAGTTGGGAATGGGTATACATCACTTCCTAATAATTAGTAATATACTTGGCAAAAAGTGATTATATAATACCTGAAGTCAGCCAAACATGGACAACCTAATATGGTCAGGAAAAGCAATAACCTTTAGGATGCTAAACAGGAGGTCTGGTCTACATTTTTAGAAGGGATGTGGACACAAGGTTTAGTATTTCATGTTGGTGTCTCTAAACTTAATATGGGTATTTCTCAGGATGTAAAGAAAGCTAATCATTTACTCTGTAAACATTTGTTTTATATGTTTATTCTAGTAAATAACAGGAATATTGGGCATTGAGTCATTACACAGGATGAATTTTTGTCATTGTTTGGAAGGACACTTGTTTATTATAAAACGTTTTTGAAAATAGATATTCAATTGAAAGGACCGCATTCCTGTCTATTTCTGAAAATGGTCAATTTTCTAGTTAATTACTGGACAAGATGTGTTCTGCTGGAGGACACTGGTCATGAACTCCCTTTGGCTCTCAGAAAAGTCAAGTGGCTGCCTTCCTGTGTCTGCCTCTCCCCAGGAAATCACCGACTAAAGTCAGAATCCTGAACTCTCTTATCAACAACCTTAAATGCTGGGAGCAAAATCTGACGTCATGAGTGTCCATATCTTTCCTGCTTTCTGGAAATGCCTGTTGGATCACCCATGGAAATGTGTAGGAGGAAAACGAGCAATAGGGATTTTTCAATTTGTTAGGTAGAACTAGTGCTTCCAGTTAATTATTCATTTATATTCCCCCTATGGCTTTTAGATAAGTTTTATATTATTTATTTTTATTACATGAATTCATATGTAGATTCTATTGGCAAATTTTGTTCCTAAAATAGCAAATAAAACTAAAGAGTTTTTGAGTGATCACCAAACCCATACCCTTCATACTATATCTTTTTATTCCTTTTGCCGTGCATATACATTGTATGTGACTGTGTATGGATGTGTGTGTATGCATTCATATACTTATAAACTATATGTAAAACATATGGTTAAACATTTTTTCCATATAGTTTGGCTATTTGCATTTCCTCCCCATTAATGTCCTGTCTATAACATTCAAGTGAAGAGCTTATCAAAATATAAATATACAGGGATTTTTGATATATGAATTATTTCATAGGTTTTATCACTGTACAGGTCACTTAGAAAGATTTTAGACATCTTTCCTTGTCAGAGCATAGAGAACTACCAATTTCTTTAAAATTGCTGAATAGGTTTTCCATAGAGTATATTTAACAGATTTTATTCAAATATTCCCTTTTTGTGCCTCTTTGCACATGTTTCAGGTTTTTCTAGCATAACCAGAAGTAGAATTGTTCAAAGGAACTACATATTTTAATTCTAATTTTAAAGGAATTCTGTGAAATTCTCCTTCAAAATAGCTGCACTAAATTATTCCCAGCAGTCATGCATGAAAGTTAATGTATCTCTCATCCTTGCCAACACTTGAGACTGACAAAGTTTTAATTTTTTGCCAAGTTGATGCAAATTATTGCATCAAATTTTGTTCAAATTTTCAGTTCCCTGGGTAACAAGTGCAGTTGAGCATATTTTCCGTATAGTTATTGGTCAGTTGCATTTCTTACCTTAAATTTCCAATTTATGAAATTCAAATAAATGCAATTATTATTGTTATAGTATTATTTTTGTCTATCTTTTACCTATATTTGGTGAAAGTATTTTCTTGTCAAATTGAAGAAATTACTTATATATCTTGAATATCTATTTAATTTGTGTTATAAATGATTTCCCTGTTTTATGGTTTGTCTTTTAATTTCAATAATCACATATTTTATAATATAAAACCTTAAAATTATGATTTAAATTTGTCAGACTTTTTCTTTATAGCATTGTCAGACCTTTTCAAAGCCACAAACATACTCTCATTTTTGTTAAAGTTTTTTTTATATATGTTGATTTTAATCCATCTGGAATTATTTTTTGTAAGTGGTGGGTGGAAGGTAGGGTTTGAATTTTATTGTTTCCAGATGGAAAATCTGTTGCCCAATATCATTTAGTGACTAGTTTATTCTCTTGCTGATAGGAAATGCCACCTCATTTACATATGAAATTCTCATAGATGCACATGTACTCTTGACCAATTTCTCCCATTTAAATTTATAAAATTATACCACTTACAAATATTAGAAATTCAACTATTATTGGCAATAATTATGCTCTTCATTCATTTAATAATGTTTACTGTTTACTGCATGTCTATTATGTGCCAATCCCACTATTCTAAGCCTTGGGAGAGAGCAATTAGCAAAATAGACTAAGGCCCTGCACTCATCGCTGTTATGTCTGTAAGGGGTGGTGGGCCAGAGAGCACCACACAACCGACAGGTATGATGTAGCTGAACTGCAGGGTGTCAAACTTAAAAAAATGTTGACATTCTCTTATATAAAGATCTCATCCATTTTATCTTCACCAAGATAAGGTATCTGGTGTTTTTTTTTTCTTTGAGACAGAGTCTCGCTGTGTTGCCCAGACTGGAGAGCAGTGGTGTGACTTCGGCTCACTGAAACTTCCGCCTCCCGGGTTCAAGTAATTCTCCTACCTCAGCCTCCTGAATAGCTGGGATTACAGGCATGTGTCACCACACCTGGCTAATTTTTGTAGTTTTAGTAGAGATGGGATTTCACCATGGTGGTCAGGCTTGTCTCGAACTCCTGACCTCGTGATCTGCCTGCCTCGGCCTCCCAAAGTGCTGGGATTATAGGCGTGAACCACCGCGCCTGGCCTAACTTACTTATTTCTAAACTTCACATCAGAGGTGATCACTATGCAAAACTCTGAAACTATAGAAAAAGTACATGGCAAGTCCTTTTTCCTCAAAAAATTTGAAATCAATCTGAGGAAATGAGACAGCAACAATCAAAAGGATATGATATAAATAGTCAAAGGGCCTAATAAATGAAAGGCTTCAAGATAGTACAGCGTTAATTTTAATATTAATAAAATAAACAACAAAAACCATGCCAACCTGAGGGACCAGGTCTTTGTGCTGTGGACAGATTGGTCTAAACTCTACTCTAGTTATAAGTATACAAATGATTGGATACAAAAGCATGGCATTCTTGATCAGGGGAATTTCATTAGTTTTACTGAAAAAAAGAAAAGGATGTGTCATTAGAGAATAGACGGAAAAAAGTAGTATAGAGAGAGCTTTTAGAGGTCCTTAAATAGCTAAATAGTTTGTATCTTATCTACATCAAGGGAAATCAAAAGAAAACTTTTCAGCAGAAGAACATGGTCAATGTGTAACTTCAATGAACCAGTGGTCCTGGAAACCTTGAAGATAAGACTTCTCTAGACAAAAATCTGTCTTCTTTACCTTAACTTTTCTTTACATTTTTCTCTTCTCCCAAAGATGCTCAGTATCCTTGGGCTGACCTTTTCTCTATATTAGTGCCTTTTGGTATTTTGGACACTCCAGAAATACAAAATATTCTTCTCTATTTCTCAACTCCCAAGGAAAAATTAAATAGCCTCTGCCACATATATAATGAATCTAAAGATAACCCTCAAGCACAGATCATCATGGCTGCTCTTGAACCTACCTCTCCTGTAAAATACATTTGCATGTAACATGAGTTGCTGAAGAGTCAAGAGACAAAAATCTCTTTGCTCAAAAGTGTATGAGAATTTCTGTTTCTGGGGTAGCCTGGGAGGAGAGATGCTTTTGTCTCTGGGTAAGCTTTAGGTCTTGCGGTAGCCTCTAAAATGATTTCCAATGATCCCCACCTCTGGGCTTTCCTCTGTTCATGTCATCCCCTTTTCTGAAATGTAGCCTGGACTTCTGACAAACAGGATACGGCGAAAGTGATGAGATGTCACTTCTACGATTAGGTTATAAAAGACTGTTTTCCATCTTGCCTGTTCTCTCTGGCTCTCTCTTTAGGTGATAATGAATGCAAGCCAACTGCTATGTTGTAAACTGAGTGATAGAAGGCCCCTATGGAAAGGGACTCAAGGAGGACTCAGTCTACCAGCTAATGAGGGCATGAATACTGTTAACAAACATGAGAGTGAATTTGCCCCTAGTGGAGGTTTGAGCTGGCTGCAGCATTAGTTTGATTGCAGCCTTGTGAGAAACTTCCAGACAGAAGACCCAGCAAAGCCACACCCAAATTCCTGACCCAAAGAATCTGTGAGATCATAAATAATTTATTGCTTTGACAAGCTGCTAAGTTTTGGGTAATTTGTTGTTCATCAAATATAACTAATACAGGCCACCTCCCAGCAGAACATTTTGTAGCTGTTGTAGGACTCACAGAATGTTGGCATAGGAAGAGATTGAAATCAACTGAATTTATGCCCTGTTAGATGTTTGAGACCCCTGTAATTTCCTGCTTAGAGACGGTCAAGTAAGACTTGCACATCTCCCATGCTGTAAACATCTTAACACAATTTTCGGTTGACTCTGGAAATTTCCCCTGTAATAGTCTGTTAATAATGATGAACTTTTATGTCTCCATGATCAACTGTCATTCATGTTGGCTTCTCATTTGTGATAAGAAAAATTATATTATCTATTAAAATTGATGGGAAAGGAAAAGTATGTCGTTTAGAAGATCATCATTCTTGGTCTAACTCGTCTTTCTATAGCTGAGTTTCCCGTGTAACAACATGTAATCTCAGAAAATTGAAATGTAAAATGTCAACATAAATGTGCTCTGAAGCCATGATAAAAAGTGAAAAATGGATTGTCTCTGTAGTTGTAATAAATACCCACAAATATTTCTTTTTTAAAAAAAGATAAAATACATCTAACAAATTGTATAGTCATGTCAGTGATTTGGCTTTTTTAGGAAGAAAATCTGCACAATGATAATCCATAAACTCATAACATTAATAACAAGCTCTCCATTAATAACAAGCATGAGACAGCTGCACTGCATCTTGAAATCCCACAGCATTTCCCAACTGCACTGCTAACAAATTGAAGTCATACACCCAAATGTGGTGAAGCAATCCATTTACTAGCAGCTGTGAAACACTGGTCAGCTGAAATAGACTCTGAAGATAATTTAACTGGCAAAGGCAATTGAAAAAATACTGCACTCATGGATGATTTGTGAATCTGAGGCTATTGATAGCCTGCCCTTATCCCTTGGGACTCATCCCTGCACTATGAAGGCTGCTTATTTCAAACACCTGCTGCTCTCTGCCTGTGAGCTTTAATTCTGACCTATGTTCAGGGCAAACCAGAAATGCTGGAGGAGGGATAATGTTCTTTATCCAAGCTTCAACCAATGTTGGAGTAGAAGTTGGAAGATAGATACACCATCTCCCTTCATCTCTGTTGGTGTAACTTCAATGTATATTCTACATTGTCTCCCAGAGTCTCCCCTCCCACCTACACACATTTAAGCAGCAGTTGCCCACAGTAGGAACTGCTTTATAATGTAGCCTTTATTGCCTGACTTTCCTTCCTTATCTTATTTTTCTACCCCACTACTAGTGTTTCCTGAGATCACTTCTAATAACTAGCAATGTTCCGAATATCACTCAAAGTATTTGGACTCAAATCCATGTCTCCACTTCGGTTGCTAGGGAAACCCAACCTAAGACAACTTATTTGGCAGTTGCGCATTTAAACCAGGTATTATACCCAAAGAATTTGGGAAGTTTTATACCCACTGAAATGCTTAACAACAGAGGACACAAAATGCAGCAAGTTTTCTCGAGTAAGGAACCAAAACCAGACTTGGGACATTACCTTTTGAATTTTTGTTACATTTTCTTTTACATATCTTCAATTTTGAAGTGGTTCCAGAAGTCCATTAGCTTTTGTTACAACAGAGATTTCCAACATAGTCTTCAAACCTTCATGAAACAGAGGGTTAAATATAGTATTCCACAACCCAAAGAGACTGTGGATATATGTATCCACAGAAAGGTTCACAATATTAGCAATAACTATACCTTAATAAATGCTTATTATGGGACAGGAAATGTGTTATTATACATATTTACCTTTTCTGTGTTCAAAATAACCTTAAGCTTTAGGTACTGTTCTTGTTGTCTTATTTTGTCATTTTCTAACAGATTCATTGTTGACATAAATGACATAAAATATTTACATAAAGTACAATTTGACAACTCTAGACATATGTATATACACATGAAATAATTATCATCATTAGGATAGTGAATATACCCCAAGCTCCCAGAAACTTTCTCATGATCCTTTGTAATTCCTCTCTATTCCTTACCTCTTCTCCCCTGCCTTCCTCAGGCAACAGCCAGAATAGATTAATTTACATTTTCTAGAATCTTATGTAAATGAAATAATACAGAATGTACTCTTGCTATCTGACTTCTTTCATTCATAATTATTTTGAGATGCATCCGTATTATATATATATCTATAATTCACTCTTTTATTGTTGAGTTTATTCTGCTGTATGGACCTACTACAATTTGCTTATCCATTCACCAGTTGAAAAACTACATTTTTTTTAAATCCATTTACCTGTTGACTTATTCTTTCCAGCTTTTGATTATTATAAATGTAAACATTTTTGTATAAGATTTTGTATGTATATAGGCTTTCATTTTGGAGATATAAATAGCAGTGCAATTACTAGATTGAATGGTAAATATATGTATAACATTTTAAGAAATTGCCATTGTATCATTTTATATTCCCACCAACAATGTATGACAATTCCAGTTTTCCACATCCTCACCAACACTTGATATTATTAGGCCTTTAATTTTTAGCAGTTCTTACAGTGTGTAGTGGTATCTCATTGTAGGTTTAATTTGCATTTACTATTGATTGATGTTGAACATCTTTTCATCTGCTTATTTGTCCTCTGCATATCTTCTTTGGTGTTCAAGTAATTTGCCAATTTTTATTGATTTGGAGTTTTTTGTATTATTATTTGGATTTGAGGGTTATTTACTTATTCTTCACACAAATCCTTTATCCAATATATGTTTGTCAAATATTTCTCACATTCTGAGGTTCATTTTTTTCATTCTGTAAATACCGTTTTTTGAAAATAATTTTTAATTTTGATGAAGTCCAATTTGTCAATGTTTTCTTGTATGAACTATGCTTTAGGCATCTTATCTAAGAACTCTGCCTAACCAAAGGTCATAAAGGCTTTTTCCTTTGTTTTCTTCAAGATGTTTTAAAGTTTTAAGTTTAATATTGAAATCTACGATTTATTTTGAATTAATCTGTATATATACTAAGAGATATGGATCAAAATTTATTTTTTGTTTATTCAATATATCCAGTACTACTTGTTTAAAAGACTATTCATTCTCCATTGATTTTCCTTTGCGCCTGTTCCTAAAATCAATGGTCAATGAATATGTAGGTCTATTTATGGAATTTCTATTCTGATCTATTATTATCGTTGTCTACCGTCACACAAACACGACACTGTCTTAATTATTATAGCTTTATAAGTATTGAAATCCAGTAGAGTTACTCCTCCAAATTTGCTTTTCTTTTTAGTTATTTTGGCTATTTCAGGTCCTTTGCACTTTCCTTTGAATTTTAGAATCTTGTCAATTTCACAATAAAATGCCTACTCTGGTTTTGATTGAGATTGCGTTGAATCTATTCATCAAATTGGAGAAAATTGCCATATTAACAATATGAATCTTTAGATTCATGAGCATGAGATGTCTTTCTATTTATTTAGATCTTCTTTAATTTCTCTCAGTAATATGTTGCAGTTAAAATTGTAGTTTTCAATGATTAGCACTGCCACATCTTTATTCAGGCTTATCCTTAAGTACTTTGCATTTTTGATGCTATTGTAAGTGGTGTTATTTTAATTTCTGAATATTCACTGCTAATATATAGAACAATAATTGATTTTTGTGTATTGCTTGTACTCTGAAATCCTGTTCAAGTCAATTATTAGTTCTAGGAGCTTTTTTTGTAGATTTATTTGGATTTTCAAGATATAATCTAGCTGTCTTTGAATGAAGACAGTTTTCCTTCTTCCTGTCCAGTTGGAACAATTTTAATTTCTTTTTCTTGCTGTATTCAGTAGATGAAATCTCCAGTACAAACTTAAATAGAAATAGTGAGAGTGAACATCATTGTCTTGCTCCTGATCTTAGGAAGAAAGCATTTAGTCTTTCACCATTAACTATGATGTTAGTTGTGGGTTTATTGTAGATGTTGTTTATCATGTTAAGTAACTTCCCTTATGTTGCTAGTTTGCTAAGAATTAATCTAGGAATGGATACTAGATTTTATCAAATCCTCTTTCTGCATTTATCGACAAGGTCGTGGGGTTCCTTTTAGGTCTACTAATATTGTGCATTACACTGACTAATTTTTTTTAATGTTACATAAACCCTGCAATCAATGGATAAAACCTAATTATCCATGATATATTACCTTTTTTATTTATCAAATGATTTCATTTGCTAAAATTTTGTTTAGAATGTTTGCACATGCATTTCTGAGGGATACTGGTCTACATATAATATAACGTATCTTGTCCGTCTTCTGTATTATTAATAGTGCTACTTCATACAATGGGTTGGGAAATATTCCCTGCTCACCAATTTTCTGGATGTATTTGTATGAAAATTGATATCATTTCTTCCTTAAATGTTTGCTAGACTTCAGCAGTGAAGCCAGTTAAGCCTGAAGTTTCCTTTGTGGGAAAGATTTTAATTACAAATTCAATTTCTTTAAAAGATATAGGGCTATTCCACTTACATATTTTTCTTACATGAGCTTTAGTCATTTGTTTCTTTTAAATTATTTGTGCATTTAATTTTTTGTTGAATTTATTAGCGTGCAGTTGTTCATAATATTTCCTTGTTATCCTTTTAAGATCTGTAAAATTTGCAGTAATATCACCTCTCTAATTCTTAATTCTTATAATTTGTATCTTCTCACTTTTTTTTTCCTGGTCTGTCTGCCAAGAGGTTTATCAGCTCTATTAATCTTCTCAAAAAATCAGCCTTTGGTATTTATTTTTCTCTGTTATTTTTCTGTCTTGTATTCCATTGATTTCCAGTATGATTTTTGTTATTTCCTTTCTTCTGCTTATGTTAATCTGTTCTTTGTTTTCTAGTTTCTTAGATGGAGGTTAAGGTAATTGACTTAGGATCTTTCTTGTTTTATAAAATAGGATTTGAGTACTGTAAAATTACCAGTAAATGCTGATTTTAGAGCATCTCACAAATTTTGAAATGTTTTGTTTTAATTTTAATTCAGTCTAAAATATTTCCTAATTTATCTTTTGATTTCTTTTTTAACTCATGGATTATTAGAAGTTATTACCAAATAATTGTGGATTTTTTAGAGTTTTTTAATGTTAATGATGTTTATTTTTCTCCCAAGTTGACAGAGAATGTATTTTGCATGATATGAATCCATTTTCATTTATTGAGATTTATTTTAATGCCCAGAATATTATCTATCTTAGCAAATGTTTTCTGTGTACTTGATAGTAATGGGTATTCTCCTATTGTTGGGATGGGTTTCTAGAAATGTAAATTAAATCAAGTAGGGTGATTATGTTGTTCAAACTTCTGTATTCTTACTATTCTCTGTTTTGTTCTACCATTTGTTGAGAGAGACATATTGACATATTTGACTATAATTGTGGATTTACTCATTTTTTCCTATGGTTCTATCGGTTTTCACTTATGTATTTTCAAATTCTGTTATTAAATGCATAAACAATGAGGATTGTTACATCCTCTTGATGTGTTGACTGCTTTATCATTGTGAAATGATCTTCTTTATATCTGTAATATTTTTTACTCTAAAAATGCCTTTTTCTGATATTCACATAATCTCTTCAGCTTTCTTTTGCTTAGAATGAGCACAGTATATTTATATTTTTTCACTCTTTTAGTTTTAACTTGTTTATTATTACATTAAATTATATTTTGTTTTACACAATATAAAATTGGGGCCTTATGATTTTCCAATATAGTACATTTGCTTTTTAGTAGGAGTGCTTGAAACATTTGCATTCAATGTAATTACTGTTATGCTTAGATTTAAGTCTGTCACCTTGCTATTTATTTTGCATTTGTCTCATCTCCCTTTTTCCTTTTTCCATTGTTTGGATTAAGTATTTTGTGATTTTATCTCCTTTGTTGGCTTACTAGGTATAATTTCTTGTTGCATTTGCTTAGTGGTCTTTTTTGGGTTTGTAACATGCATCTCTAACTTAACACATTCTACCATCAACTGATAATATAGTCAGTATAGAGTTTAACAATCTTAACAATCATATATACCATTTCATATCTCCTCTCCCAAATCTTGATTGTTACATTTTTACTTATGTTATAAATCCCACACTACATTATTATTTTTGTTTAAACAATAAATTTTCTTTTAATACAATTTAAATAATAAGAAAAATAATTCGCTTATATTTACCCACATAGTTAACATTGCCAGTGTTTTTCATTTCTTTGTGGGTCTATATTTCTACCTGCTGTCATTTTTCTTTTGTTAAGAAAACTTCCATTAAGATTTCTTGTAACATAGATCTGTTGGAGATGAATTCTTTCGACTATTGTGTGTTTGAAAAAAATTCATTATTTCATATTTGTGTTTAAAATATGGTTTCTTTTCTGGGCATTTGGAACTCTGAGTTAACAGGCTTGGGGGGAGAATGGGCAAGGTTTCAGAATTTTCAAGCTGTTGCTCCCTTGTCTTCTCTCTTGCATTGTTTTCTGAGAATAATATTTTTGTTCATCTATATAGATATCTTTTTTTCTTGCTATTTAAAAATTTTTCTCATTATTACCGAGTTTGAGCAATTTGATCAAGCTGTACCCAGGTATACTTTCTTCTTCTTCTCCTTCTTCTTCTTCTTCTTCCTTTTCTTCCTCTTCTTCTTCTTCTTCTTCTTCTTTTTGGTGTTCATTGAACTTCTTGGATCTTTGGTTTTTCATTATTCATCAAATTGGGAAAAAATATCAGTTTTGTTTCTTTAAAAACCCTGCCTTTTGGCATCTCTATTTACTTGTGTAGGTAAGCAACGTGAAGTTGTTCCTTAGCTCTTGGCATTTCATTTCGGATAGTTTGTATTGCTATGTCTTCACATTTTCTAACAATTTACTCTGTAATGCTCAATCAGCTATTAATCTCATCCAGTGTATTTTTTATCTCAGACATTATAGGTTTCATTCTTAGATGTGTAATCTGATCTTTCATTTCTCTATTTATCTTTTTGAATCTATGGAAGCTGCCTTAATGTCCTTGCCTGCTAATTCTAATATCTGTGTCAGTTCTGGATTATTTTCAAGTAATTGATTTTTCTTCTCATTGTGAATCTTATTTTCCTGTTTCCTTTTAAGCCTAGCAATTTTCTATTGGATAGCTGGCATTGATTGCAAATTTTATCCTTTCGTGTGTTAATATTTATATATTACTATAAATGTGTCCTGTAGCTTTATTATAGAAGAGAGTTAAGTTACTTACAAACAGTTTAATCCTTTCAGGTCTTGCTTTTATAACTTGTTAAGTGAATCCATAGGATACTTAGTCGAAGGTTAATTATTCTTTACTACTGAGGCACTGTATCCAATGTTATATGAATTTTGAGGTTCTCCAGTCTGGCTAGTTGGTACAGCCACTGTTCTCAGCCCTGTGTGAGTGTTAGACGATGTTCATTCTAATCCTTTTGACTCATTCTTTCCTTGGTCTCGGGTAATCTCTATAGAAGCAAGTGCCGATCACTGCTCTGCTGAGTAGCCACAGGACACCCCTTGCATATTTCTGGAATGCTGTCTCTATTCAGCTCTCCCGTTTCCAACACTTTGTCAAGAGAACTGTAGACAACTTGTTCTCTCCACACACAGCTCCTTCTCCTCAACTTAAGGCCAGAATATTCTGGGCTTTCCCTGGGATTCTCCCTCTCTTTGCCAAGGCATAAAAATTCATAGAATGGGGCCACTTAACGACTCACCTCCTTGGTTTCATGTCTCTCTGGGATCGCCATTCTTGCTTGTCTAATGTCCAGTGTCTTGAAAACCATAGTTAATATATTTCATCCAGTTGGTTTTATTGTTTCTGATGGAAAGATAAATCTGATCCCTATTATTCTATTGTTGCTGGAACCAGAAGTCCCCTGCAATTCCTTATTGCAATTTAATAAATGAATAAACTAAAACACAGGGAGTATCTTGCTTAAGGTCACACAGTATTAAGTGGTAAGGGCAGAATTCAAACATAGAATTTCAAATTCCAGAGCATTTACTCTTCACTACTACTCTCTACAGTTTATGTAAATCATATTTCAGTCCTTGCCACCTAGTTAATACTCAACAACTATTACTTTTAATATTATTGATAATAACAAGAAAGCTATTAAATTGAGGCAAAAAATGTACACAGAACAAAAAAATTAAAAGATCAGATTACTTACATACAGGCAAGGGACTCTAAATCACATAAAGTAATAACATAAAGAACAACAGTAATTCAGGTACAGACATTAAAGAATTTTTTTCAAATAGTTAAAGTTGAGCAAGAAAATATGGATCTAAATCTTAACACAATAAATTCAGATTAGGCTTCAGGAAGAAATTCTAATTGTGGAACATTTTAGAAACCTTTACTTGGGTTGCAAAAAACCAACAAAACATTTTAGAACATTTAGAAACAAACTGAGCTCCTCTGCATTTCACACTAAGGCCATTGCACGGCATCCGGGTCCTTTTGCTCCTCTTGGGAGTCCCTTTTTCACAGTTTCTGCCTTAGGGAAAGGTCATCATCCCAGTTTTTCTCTTGCATTATTTTCACCTTTATCTGTTTCTTCCAGAGATTCTAGTGAAAAGCTGAGAAGACTGCACTGTGAATCAGATATACATACATATATCCCTGAAGGTGTTCTCCAGTGAGGACTCCCCCGAAAGCCACTGACTTAAACCTTCTCAAGACTGATTCCTGGAAAATGTAAATAGCTCACTTTTTGGAAATCATGCGAATGAGAGGCCCAGATGATAATGTAAAAGCATTACTAGAGTTAAGGGGAAAAAATAAGTTAGGTCAGTCACTAGTTTATCATCACATGTGTTTTATTTTTTTTAATGGGGGCATCTTTATCATTTTGTTTCTGATGAATATATAAAAGTGTATACTGGACTACGCTCTCTATATATGCACATATTATATATGTACATACATAACATACACACGCACACACACACATGCATGCACACACAGACGTGCGCACACACACGCACACATACATATCCACAAAAGGCTGAGAAACTTGAAGTGACAGCTTTCAATCTCTCCTCCAGTCCTTTGATTCTGTCTAATTAAATCTAGCCATTTCTCATACATTGCAGTAGCTGGCAGGTAATATTCATCATTTGGCAGCCAAGAAGGTGATGTTTATTGCAAACCTTGAGAGTGAGAAAATACTATAATAGTTCCTTTTCTTCCCAATCTGCCTCCATACAGCTAGAGATTAAAATTAATACTGTAAAACATCTGGCTTAGGGCCTGGTACAGAATAGGAGCCTAATAACTGACACCACACATTTCTATGAATGAAAAATTTTGGGAAATAAAAATATTACTGATGGAGGGAATGAAGTCAATTAGAAAGAAAAAGAAAGAATGGGGAGGACAGGGTAGCATGGCACTCAGAGCAATTTTTTGCTCAATCAGAAATTGGAAAATGAGTAGAATGTATAGATAAGACAATGATGAACATAAGCAATCAATTTTTTGGTTTAATTAAGGTCAAGTTAACAACATATCCCAGGGGACTAAAAGTTACAAGGCACTCAGTAAGTGTAGTTAAACACCATCTCAATGGACCCTTGGGACAATCTCCATTTTCAAGAGGATTTGGAAGCTCCTGAATCAAGAAGTGAAGTGCAAAACTAAAGGTTTCAATAAGACTAGTGGAAGGGAGGAGAGAGCAAGTATGTTTTACAGAAGATACTTCAGGATAGATGATAAATCAGGCTTGGAGGACAAACGCCTCTCTCACTATCATCTTTTCTCATCTTTGGTAATTCCATACTGGCCCGAGTGGCTTTATTCTAACTTGCTTACTAATGCTTCAATTTTAAAAAATGTTTTTGCTGATTTAACCTCATTGAAACAGGAATCAAGTATATAAAATACAACGAATATTTAATGGAATACTCATATATTTTATCAAACAATTTTACATGGTAAATATAAACTTCCTGTTACTTTTTCCTTTAAAAAAACTATTCTCAAATATATCATAGTGTATCTCATATCCCCACCACCATGAAATTTTTTGACTGAGATTTGCTCTTTTCTCTTGCACCCGATTAGTAGTTTTGTTTCCGAATCCACTGTACTGAGTCACTCACGTCTGTAGAGCCCTCATGGTTTTTCCTCACCTTTTCAGACAATAGAAATATGATCATTGCAGGCAATGGGTTATTATCTGCAACTCCCAGGAGACACAGTTCCTTAGATATTCCAAATATTTCATCACAGGCCACAGCATTGTACATTTAGGAAAGAATGGGAAAGAATTGCATATCCACCTGTGCATGATATTTCTGTAGTTGCAAAAGTTATTCTAGAGAAATTGCATTTTCCTCCTCCTTCTTATCATTTAATAGCATGCTTTGAGGTGCATACACCCTCTGGGAAGATGTGCTCTCTGCCCAATGGGGTTGCTGCTAAGAAACTCTGGGAAGATGTGCTCTCTGCCCAATGGGGTTGCTGCTAAGAAACTCTGGGAAGATGTGCTCTCTGCCCAATGGGGTTGCTGCTAAGAAACTCTGGGAAGATGTGCTCTCTGCCCAATGCGGTTGCTGCTAAGAAAAGGCCCTGACTGACCCTTTCCATCAAACCCACATCAACCCTTTTTGAAGACCGAGCTTTTAATCATGTACGTATTTAGCTCTGAATTGAAAAATAAATGGTATCCAGGGCTAAGTGACTTAGCAAACAAATGATGCGTGGAAATTACATAGCCATGTACTCTCTTGAATTGTCCCACAGAATTGGTTTAATGAGATGGAGATGACAATTAACTTTTTCCAATTAACATGTCTCTAATTCAACATTCAGTTGCTGAATGTCAAAGAAAGCTCCACAAATCATTCAGGGGTCAACAACTAAATGCTATGAGCAGAGTTTTTAATGATCTTACTTTCTAATTTTAATATGAATTTCAATATTACATTAACATCCTCTTCCCATTTCAAAACATTAGACCGGTGGGCACTGCCCCTCCTTTGCTCCAAAAATGCAGAGAAAACAATAGCATTTAGAAATCTGAGAACTTCAAAGAACTTCTTTATTTTTGTCTAGATAGGAATAATTGCAACAGTCCAAGGCCATGACATTTGGGGTCAAAAGAATTGGATTTGAATCTTGATTCTTCCCTTCCTAGCCGAGAGGCATTCTGCAAAGTGCATAGTCTCTGGTTCATTTTCTGTAAAGTGGGAGAAATATTAACCATTTTTTACAGAGCTGTCATGAGGATCAAATAGGTTAACATACATAAAATGTCTGACAATGTCAATTCCTCCTATTTTAATGTAAACACAATATTGTGAGTTCAAATCTTATTAACTGCCATAGTTAGAGGGATCGGGGTGGTGTCCATATTTCCCTGCCAGAATTTATAGGTTGCAGTGACACATGTGTCAACTTATTATTATAAGGAGTCTTATCCTCTGTGAGTAGATTTTCATAATTTTTCTTAGTATTTCTCAACTCATTACAGTTCTGTAGGCAATTGTCATGCTATATACAGAAAAGCTAGAGAAGTACTTGATAATTTGTCTAAAGCTTAGCAGATTCTTTGACTCTTCTAGCCTACCCTGTGGCATGTTCTGATTCAACTGTACTTTTAGCTTCTGGGTTCCCCCAAATCACACCTTATCATCTAAATCTACGATATTGAACATTTTAAACTCCAAGTGCTCATAAGTAAAAAATAACTTATACATACCGTCTATAAAATAGATTTATTTATAAATGATATGTATGCACTTCTGTACTAATGCAATCCATACATTTTAAAACATGGATTACAAAATAAACATAAATAAAAGTGCTCATATTTTCCTTACATATTACAGTAGATCATCTTGCACATCCCTTGGTGTGCATTTCTTTTGAGATATAATGCTTCTCCTGTTGAAAGTTGTATGATGGTGGGGAATGAATGAGGCAGAGCAGTTGATGCTAGAAACTATCATTGCTTTGTTTTAAATTGTTAAAACTTCTTTATAAGGTTATACATTGGCCATATTTTTGCTGTAGCAGATTCTTTTACTCTCATTTTACAGGCAGCCAAATCAGGCTTCTTTACTTTGCCAACAAGAACTGGAGGGAACTGGGCTCTTGGCTGAATGCCAGCCAACACTTTTACTAGCTTCATGTTTTTGTTACCAAACATTACATCGTGTCCTTTGAGATTTACAAAGTTGGCTTCAATCCCCAGACTGAATTCTGTGCAAATTTTCTTGCCCTCTCTAAGATTTCCACAAGTTCCACAGAAGGTTTATATCCCCATGGTTACCTCTCCCTTCACTTTCTCATTGTGAAATTCTCTATCTTGTTTACTTCTTGCTACCCTGCAGGGGTTCTGTCCTCTCACCTTGAACCTACCCAGGAGAGAAACATGGGTCACCAGCATAGGAAATGACTATAATAGCTGGAAGAGCTATATCACACTGCAGAGGAGCAGATATTTACAAATAAATATTACTTATCTTCTCATATTTATTCTTAAATATTCTCCCAGTCTTGAGCAAACTTTGTTTCAAAGAGGTGAATTGCAGGACAAGGGAGGCCAACATTAGAGTTGTGCAATAGCACTTCACATAACAATTGTTGATCCTTGTGTCACTATACCAATATGCCATAATCGTGACGTGTGATACAAGTAATTTATTCATAACAGACTATGACTAATACATATTGTTACTAAATCAGAATGGAATCAGGGCTACTCTCATAAAAATGTCATTTTCACTTCCTTGAATTGTTATACAAATTACAGAGTAGGAGAGAAAGTGGTAGCATTGCAACAAGTGTGCTGGGAATGGTGCATAAAACTGGTGTATCTCTGAGAGTTGCCCCATATGTGAACTTTAACCATGCTTAAAGCTTCAGCAAGAAAATGTTAACTCTCACTCATTTAGACCAATGAATCTCCAGTATGGTATCCATAATCAATGAGCAAGTAAGTTGATTCAGTGGGTCAAAAATTAAATATTATAACTTATACTAATACTTACTTTTATCTCATACTTTAAAATTTATCTTTCGTTTGCATGTAAATGTAAAAA
Organism: Homo sapiens; assembly: GCF_000001405.40. NCBI lineage: Eukaryota > Metazoa > Chordata > Mammalia > Primates > Hominidae > Homo > Homo sapiens. Next base: position 8,095,435 of record NC_000020.11, read on the forward strand.
TACATGCAAAAGTTTTAAAACACAGCCATAGTTATTTGACATTTTTCTCATCAAGATTTGGGTCTATGTTCCCTCCCCTTGAATTTAAATTTTTGTATAAATAGAGGGTGGCCAAAGAGATGCTATGTGACTTTCAAGGCTAGGTCATAAAAGGTGATGCAGGCTTCACCTTGTTTACTGGAACACTTGCTCTTGCAACCCTGAACCACTATGTAATGAGTCCAAACATCCTGAGATCCCCATGCTGTGAGGGAGCCCAACCTACAAGGAGAGTTCTCATGTAGGCACTCTGGTCCATCACAAATCCCAGGTGAACCCAGCCTAAGCACCAGACATGTAAGCAGAGAAGCTTTCAGATGATCCCATACTTCAGCATTTTGAGTCACTTTCAGCTATTTGAGATTTCCTGTTGAAACTCCAGCCATTATGGAACCAATGCAAAACAACCTCTGTCCACATTTCTGACTCAGAGTACATGAGCATAAAAAAAAAGTTTGTTGTTTTATGCTATTAAGTTTTGTGGGTTTTTTAATGCAGCATTAGATAATTTAAAATCCAAACAATATATCAATATATTAGTACATTTAAACAATTTACAGATAGATTTACGTTGTTACAGTGTATACAAAACAAATTTTACTGATGGAATGAGAGCAGGATAAAGAGGCTTGAAGACCACTGAGCTCAATAGCAGAGAGTGAGCCAGGGCGTATAGAAACTAAAGGTAGACAGGAAGAATGTGTAAACAGATGGGCTAATGTGATCCAAAAATAGAGCTGAACATCAGATAGGAAATAGTATATTGGCTAATCAGTAATCATAAATCGAATTGGCAAATGCAAGAATCAAAGATGTGACAGAGATTAGGTAAAACAAATCCAATTGCATAGGTAGAGAATTAGGTAACAGATCTCAGAGACTTTCAGGTGACCTAGAGACAAAGGCAAAAATTCAGTGCTGCCAAGAGCTTACACGCACTTTCTCTTAGAGTAGAAACAAACTTCAGGCTTGTGAAGCAGTGGAAGCAAGTGAATAAAAGCACCACATTGAAACAAAGATTGTAGAGGCAGCACTGAGAAGGCTGGCAGGTAAGGATTTTCTCGACCAGGGGTAACCTGTTACTTTGTCTTAGGGCTCTGCACATTTCCTTGAAAGTAATGAGATATAATTCATTGATCCTACACTCACTCCATCAGTAAAATTT